>NC_000012.12:70035885-70187400 GCF_000001405.40 Homo sapiens | reverse complement strand
ATACCATTTCTAGTACTCTATTTAATCTCTTTGAATCTCGGTTCCTTCCTTTGTAAAACAGTGCTTTTACTTACTTTACCTATCTCACACAGTTGTTATAAAGAATAAAATTCAGTCTTTGAAAGTATTTGTAAATGCTATACACATATGAGTTAGCATTATTTTCATTCATTGAGGTTACCTTTAAAATATTATTTATAAATCTCTTTCAAAATGATTTTGAGTGACTCTCAAAGGTTTTCTGTAAAGAAAGCCAATACCTCTATTTACAAACTGCTTTCTAAAAGTAAGTGTAGTGTTCACTTCAGTAGCACATATACTAAAAGGTAAGTGTGTATTTTCTAGTCTTTATGCATAGATGCTGTGATTTCAGGGCAGTTGCAAGATCCTACTAGACCACCAATCTTTCTTCTTTTTAGTGCTGATCTTCTCTCCTACCTCACCTGAAATTTATCAATTAGCGTTTCTAGTTGGGTAGACTAGAAGGGTTTAAATTCTGATAACATGTTCTTATTTTACCTAGAAAAGTTAGGCAAACTTAAGGGTTGAGAGAAGGGACTGTCTCCTACAACTTCTCTGTTGGCACAAATTAATTGATTAGTCTCACTGTTAGCTAAGAATATCCATTCTAAAAGTGTGAGATCAAAAGTTGAGCTCATTTCAGTGGAGGAGCAAAACACGGTCACAACTACTTAAGAATAAATAGCTCGACAAGCTTTCATGTCATTTATTTCCAACAGAAGGTGGCTGCTTCCCCAAGATGCCTCTCACCAGATGGTGAATTCTCAGTTCATTTTTAACTACCTGCAAAATCATGGCACATGGCTCTGACCTCATTTCATTTTAGAATTCACCTTTTATTTTAGCTTATGATTTCCATCTGAGCAAAAAAGTTCCTTAAAAGGCAAGAGGTCAAAGTCACGGACAAACACACATGTGCATGAATATGTTTATTTTAATAAATAACTTATTCTTGATAATCCATCTGTAATTATGAGCAACTAATTTTTGTTGTTTCAGACCAGTTTTCCTTCTCTACCTATGCAACACCAGTTATCTCTATTGACTCAAAAAATGATAACTGATTTTAAATTATTCTAAGGAAAACATAATTCTAAAGACAAATTGGAAGTTCTCTCTGTATAGTGTATTTTGAAGTCAATATAAAATCCCTTGGATTATTTATATCAATCCTCATTCCCCAAATCTCTCTTTGTTAGTATTCATGATTGAGAATTTTTTTTTTTTTTTTTAGACTCATTTTCACTCTGTCGCCCAGGCTAGAGTGCAGTGGGGCGATCTCAGCTCACTGCAAGCTCCGCCTCCTGGGTTCATGCCATTCTCCTGCCTCAGCCTTCCCAGTAGCTGGGACTACAGGTGCCCGCCACCACGCCTGGCTAATTTTTTGTATTTTTAGTAGAGACAGGGTTTCAGCATTAGCCAGGATGGTCTCGATCTCTTGACCTTGTGATCCGCCCGCCTTGGCCTCCCAAAGTGCTGGGATTACAGGCGTGAGCCACTGCGCCCGGCGTCATGATTGAGAATTTATAGCACAATTATTCTAGGTCTCCGGGATAATCAGGGTAAGACCTTTGAGTAATGAGGAGTCACCAGGGAGTTTAGCCACCACTCCAAACAATTACAGCAGGTCCTTGAATAACCTCATTTTCTTCAACTTGGTTTCATTATAACATTGATGAGAGAAAAAAAATTGATTCCAGCCAAGGCCACTATCTGTGTGGAGTTGGTAAGTTCTCACCATGTCTACATGAGTTTTCTCTGGGTAATCTGGTTTCCTCCCACATCCCAAAGATGCATACATTAGGTGAATTGGAGTGTCTAAATGGTCCTAGCATGGGTGGGTGTGTCAGTGTGTGTGTGTATGAGTATACCCGGTGATGAGTATGTGTATGAGTATACCCAGTGATGAAAAGGCATCCTGTCCAGGCTGGTTCCTGCTTTGTGCCCTGAGCTGCCAAAATAGGCTCCAGCCATCTGAGCTGGAATAATTGGGTAAGTAATTATCATACTTGTTTTTATTAATCATTTAAGAATTTATACATAGCTCACATTTATTTTAATGTTTAATATTAGAAGTGTTTGGTTTTTATTTAGAAGTTTGGTGATATTTTTGTGACCAAAATATGCTATAGGAACTTAACTCTCACTTATATCAATTAGCTTATGGCAAAATTGGTTTCATTATCTGTTGTTTTGCTTCAAGTCACAGTTTCCAAAAATCTATTGACAATGTTAAGTGAGAGCTTTCTCTACTTTCATATGCCTGAACTTTTATGACCACACTCCTACTGCCCCCTTAAAGTTAGTTAGAGGTGGACATCTTGCAAAAGGGTACTCCTTGTAGATAGACATATGAGCCCAATAGAAGGGTCAGAATCTGCCCATTATCACTATTGAGAAAGTAAATTACAATAACCCAAGGGTGGACTATTTTGTCCTCTTCATGGGTGCAATTTGGCAAATGATGTTTTAGAGAAATCAAGTATAAATTAATATCAACTGTTTTCATCTTTATTTTCTAGGGTGATTTGATTATTGTACTGAGTAAAACAAATAGGCACTGGGGATAAGTGGTATGTATATATGAAAAAGATACTTAAAAATAATAAAATTATTTATAATATAGTTTCCTAAATAATAATAATTACTCTTGGTATCCACATGGAGTATTTTTGTTGCTGTAAAATTTTATAGCATAGAGCATTATAGCAATTATCCATAAAAATGTGAAGTTGAAAAGAACATTTGAGAATAGCTAGTACAACATCATAATTTTACACATGAGGAAACTGAAGCCCAGATAGATTTGGTGACTTTCCCAATGATACAGAGCTGGCTCGTGGCAGAGGATCATATCAGACATAATTCCATGTCTTTCAGCTCTTCGTCTGACAGTCTTCCCACTCCCATGCAGACTATACAGATAATTACTTTAATGTTAAAAATTAGTTTATGCACATACTTAAAATTGCACTTAAAAAGTAGTTCTCTAGCTTGGCCACACATGGAAATCACCTGGAGGGCTATTAAAAGCACCAACACCAGGTTGCACCTCAGATGGATTACATCACAACATCTGGGGATGGTATCCAGGCATCAGTAGTTTTCAAAGATCCCCAGGTGATTCCAATGAGCACCCAAGTTTGAGAACCACGCTACTAAAATAATTATAATGAAAAACAGGTGTCTTCTGTTCCACTGTTTCTAACTCCTTAGTTCTACTTTCTGTGGCCGTTTTTCTCAAAGTTTGGACCTAAGAGCAGTAGCATTGGCATCACCAGTGAGGCTTTTATTTATTTTTTTTTCTTTTTGAGATGAGGTCTCATTCTGTCACCCAGGTTGGAGTGCAGTGGCATGATCTCGGCTCTCTGCAACCTCCACCTCCCAGGCTCAAACGATCCTCCCACCTCAGCCCCCCAGTAGCTGGGACCACAGGTGTGCACCACCATGCCTGGCTAATTTTTGTATTTTCTGTAGAGGGAAGGTTTTGCCATGTTGCCCAGGCTAGGAGTGAGCTTGCTAGAAATGTACATTCAGGGGGCCCACTCTAACCTATTGAACCAGAATCTCTGAAGTTCCACAAAGCTGGAGGCATCATTGTACCTGACTTCAAACTGTACTACAAGGCTACAGTAACCAAAACAGCATGGTACTGGTACCAAAACAGAGATACAGACCAATGGAACAGAACAGAGGCCTCAGAAATAACACCACACATCAACAACCATCTGATCTTTGACAAACCTGACAAAAACAAGAAATGGGGAAACGATTCCCTATTTAATAAATGGTGTTGGGAAAACTGGCTAGCCATATGTAGAAAGCTGAAACTGGATCCCTTCCTTACACCTTATACAAAAATTAATTCAAGATGGATTAAAGACTTAAATGTTAGACCCACAACCATAAAAACCCTAGAAGAAAACCTAGGCAATACCATTCAGGACATAGGCATGGGCAAGGACTTCATGACTAAAACACCAAAAGCAAGGACAACAAAAGCCAGAATAGACAAATGGGATCTAATTAAACTAAAGAGCTTCTGCACAGCAAAATAAACTACCATCAAAGTGAACAGGCAACCTACAGAATGGGAGAACATTTTTGCAATCTACCCATCTGACAAAGGGCTAATATCCAGAATCTACGAAGAACTTAAACAAATTTACAAGAAAAAAACAACTCCATCAAAAAGTGGGCAAAGGATATGAATAGACACTTCCCAAAAGAAGAAAGTTATGCAGCCAACAGACACACAAAAAAATGCTCATCATCACTGGTCATCAGAGAAATGCAAATCAAAACCACAGTGAGATACCGTCTCACACCAGTTAGAATGGCGATCATTAAAAAGTCAGGAAACAACAGATGCTGGAGAGGATGTGGAGAAATAGGAATGCTTTTACAGTGTTGGTGGGAGTGTAAACTAGTTCAACCATTGTGAAAGACAGCGTGGCGATTCCTCAAGGATCTAGAACTAGAAATACCATTTGACCCAGTGATCCCATTACTGGGTATATACCCAAAGGATTTTAAATCATGCCACTCTAAAGACATATGCACATGTATGTTTATTGAGGCACTGTTCACAATAGCAAAGACTTGGAAGCAACCCAGATGTCCATCAGTGATAGACTGGATTAAGAAAATGTGACAAATATACACCATGGAATACTATGCAGCCATAAAAAGGATGAGTTTATGTCCTTTGCAGGGACGTGGATGAAGCTGGAGACCATTATTCTGAGCAAACTATCACAAGGACAGAAAACCAAACACTGCAAGTTCTCACTCATAGGTGAGAATTGAACAATGAGAACACTTGGAGACAGGATGGGGAACATCACACACCAGGACCTGTCGCAGGGTGGGGGTAGGGGGGAGGGATAGCATTAGGAGAAATACCTAATGTAAATGACAAATTAATGGGTGCAGCAAACCAACATGGCACATGTTTACCTATGTAACCTGCTCGTTGTGCCCATGTACCCTAGAACTTAAAGTATAATAAAAAAATACAAAATTAAACAAAAACAAACAAAAAAAGAATATCTGAGGTTCCAGTTAACTGTAATTATTCATGTTAAAATTAGCCTTACCGTATAAGGTATCATTTTTCACTATTTTTAGCAGTATCCTCTATATTTACCTCCACATCTAAATAATATGTTCATAATCCTATTTCTTGATTTGATAATTTTATACTTTATCTGTTGACTTCCTGTTATGGCAAATAAGGATTTATTTAGTTTTTTGTAGTTTTCCCCCTCCTCTCATCCTTCCAGTAGAGTTCTATCACAATATTTTGCTAAATCAATTACTCTGTGTTTATGTTATTAATACTATAAAAATATTGTTCCCTGCAAAGCTAAATAAACCTGTGCTTATATACCTTTTATTATATATTTAATATTTTTTTCCTAAGATTAATAATTGCCTGGTTTGTTTATTGGTTCATTTTCTATGTATCTACTCTTAATTTTTAAATATGCTCTACTAAATCTGTTATACGCCTACTAATATAATTTTCAGGTATTCAAAACAAAGATATTTTGCCCATTTCATCTGGAAACCTATGCCCTCTTCATCCATTTGCTCTGATTTGAACTGGTTATTTTCTGAAGTCAGCTATGCAGTTGACATTCTGGATCTTGCCCTTGACCTTTCTTTCTCACACTATATCCAGTCTGCAGGCAAATATGCTGCCTTTACCTTCAAAATGTATCTGGAGTCTGATCCCATCTCTTTTTTTTTTCTTTTTTTTTTTTGAGATGGAGTCTCACTCTGTTGCCCAGGCTGGAATGCAGTGGTGCGATCTCAGCTCACTGCAACCTCTGCCTCCCAGGTTCAAGTGATTCTCCTGCCTCAGCCTCCCAAGTACCTAGGATTACAGACATGCACCACCACACCCGTTACAGAAATGCACACCTAATTTTTGTATTTTTAGTAGAGACAGGGTTTCCCCATGTTGGTCAGGCTAGTCTCAAACTCCCAACCTCAGATGAGCCACCACCTGGGCCTCCCAAAGTGCTGGGATTACAGGTGAGAGCCACCACACCCAGCCTGATCCCATCTTGACCTCCTCTGCTACCATCCTGCCCAAGCCACCATCATCTCTCTTAAACACTGAAATAGCCTGCTTAACTCTTCCACCCATTCCCCCTTTCAGCTAAAAATATAGCACAGATCATGTCTCATATATTTATTAGTTAAGTGCAAGTAACAAAAGGAACCATATGCCATTTGGGAAATGTTTGTTTCTTTTTCTAAGTGTGTATGTAGGGTAAGGGTTTCGGGCGAAAGTTGGTGGTGGTGGTGAACAGATTACGGGTATGGGAATTCTATATACATTCTCACTGATTGGCCTGTAGCAGATCAATGTTATGGAAAACAGAAAAAAATTTTAACATTTCCACAATAAGTACTTACTATGCATTGTGAGGTTAAAGAAGTAGAAGAAGATTCTTGCTTGTGAAAATTTACAAATTTCTGTAGGAGATAAAACATGTACATATTCCACACCGAAAGAACAAAACAATATTTGATTATATGTAGAAACTAGTATTATAGACTCCTTAGAAATTCAGAGAGAGAATGCAACATTTTGGCTGACTAATAATATATTAAAAGCAGGATTTGAGTTTGAATTTAAAATATGGGTGATATTAATATTTTACTTCCAGTGACTGCAAGGAGAATTTTGGACTGAGATAATGATGATGACATTAAAGGTATGCAACAGGAAGTTTTATTAGGGTTCTCCAGGTAAATGAAAAACAATAAGAAATGTAAATATTAATAGATTAGATAGAGAAGAGAGTTATTATAGGAATTGGCTCACATTACTTTGGAGACTGAGAAATTCCATGATACGCCATCTACAAGCTGGAAAGCCAGGGAAGCTGGTAGCATCGTTCAGTCCAAGTCCAAAGTCCTGAGAACTTCAGGCAGTAAGGGGATGCTGGATTAAGTCCCAGTGTTCAAAGATCAGAGAACCTGGAGTTTTGATGTGCCAGGGCAGGAGAAGATGAGTGTCTCAGCTCCAGAAGAGCGAGCAGATTCAGCTTTCTCTTGCCCTTTTGTTCTATCCAGGCCCTCAGCCAATTGGATGTTGCTTATCCATGGGGGAGGGTGGATCTTCCTTACTGAGTCCACTAATTCAAATGCCAATCTCTTCCAGAAACAGCTGCACAGACATACTTAGGAATAATGCTTTACCAGTTATTACCAGCTGGGTATCCCTTAACTCAGTCAAGCTGGCATCGAAAATTAACCATCACAGAAATCTACACCCAATTTAAAGAGAATGTGGACCAGGACAATTTGATATGTAAGATTTGTGCCAAGGAGTAGCTGAAAATAAGATGAAATGGATAGATAGGTTTTTATTCATGTTCAATATCTAGTAGATCAGTTCCGCTTATCTTATTGATTTAATTAACCTTTGATATATCATGGGCAATTATAATAGTTCTCAGCTAACCCAAGAAAATAGATTTATTATTACCTCCTTCTTATAGATGAGGAAACTTGAGGCCCAAGGACGTTAAATAACTTGCCTAAGGTCAAAAGACTAAGGATGTGGTGTAGTTAATATCTGAACCTATGCAATCTCATTTCTGAGCCTATGCTCTTAAACACTGCCTTTACTGGCTTTCCTTGTCTATCATATATGTTACAAATATCTTTTCAATTTCTCATTCATAATTTTAATTTTGTATATGGTCTTTCTTACTGGATGATATTTAAAATTTTATGTGAGGCCAGGTGCAGTGGCTCATGCCTATAATGCCAGAACTTTGAGAGACCGAGGCAGGAGGATCACTTAAGCCCAGGAGTTCAAAGTTGCAGTGATTCATTGGGGCCTGTCAGGAGGGGCGGGGTAGGGGGAGGGAGAGCATCAGGAAAAATAGCTAATGCGTGCTGGGCTTAATACCTAGGCAGTGGGTTGATAGGTACAGAAAACCACAATGGCACACATTTACCTACGTAACAAACCGGCACATCCTGCACATGTATCCTGGAACTTAAAATAAAATAACAGACAAACAAAAGTTGCAGTGACATGATTGTGCCACTGCACTCAAGCCTAGGCAGCAGAGCAAGACTCTGTCTCTAAAATAAATTAAAATTTAAAAAATCACAAAATTTTATGTAATCAAAGTTTCAATATTTTTCTTAATTTTATTTAGTTTTGTTTCATAAGAAAGGCTTAGTATAAAGAATAATAAAACATTTCCTATTATATTTTCTTTTGAATTTTTAACTTTTATTTTTAACTTTATGATAATTAATCATGAATCTTTTATTGTATTTGTCTATGGCCTGAAGTAGAGATCTAATTTTACTTTTCTTCCAAATGGCTAGCCAATTATCCTCAAAATATGTCCTTTTTTAAATGACTTGACATGCCACCTTGATACAGTAGATGTTTAGAAATTTGCCAGTTGCTGGACATTCTACCAATAAGTGTTTCATTCTGGTTAAGAAGAATTCTTTTAAAAGTGTAACCCTGGAAGGAATATTAGTTAGAAACACTGTAATGTAAATTAGTTAGATAATACTGGGTATCTATTGATACCCAGCTGAGATAAATGTAGCTAAAAATAGTAATTTTGGCTCTGGAGGTCAAATCTTCCTGGGGACAAGGAAGTTAAAAGTAGAAAAGTTAATTTTTAATGTGGCATGAATGAGAGAAACTATTGTCTTCTTCACAACTGTTGTCATTGACAAAAAGCTCTCGCATTTTTTGATGACAATTACTGAAGTATTATCTGGCACCAATTGAAATAATACGGACTTATAATATGGCTTTTTAGTAAGCAAATCACTCCAAATTTTTCTAATATTTTTCAGCTTTAAACCAATGAAAAAGCCATAAAAATAGCCACAAGGATAAATAGTCCAATGAAGGCTCTTTCTTTGTAAATGTGAAACTAAGATCGATTTTGGGAGAAAATGTCAAATCTTTTCATTTCCTCTGGGGACAGCATTATGCAGGTATGTTAGTAGTCTTTCTGTAGAGTATCAGGAAATCCATCTGCAAATAATGAATAATTTCCTCCCATTTCACTATGTGCATGCTCTGAACAATTAATGTCCTTACTTGCCTTCACAATGGTTCAGTGTGATCTAACACAGATTGAGCCATCTGTCTGTGTTTTCTTCCATTTGCAACATTTGTTCTTCCTGCTGATCTGACTGCTTCTTTTCTCTGCTTTCTGATTCAGATTGAGCAAGCTTTCCCAGAAATGTACTTGTTAGCCAGAAGCAAGTCTCTTGGACTACAGAAATGTAAAATATTCTCCTACTATATTCATCCTGTTAGTAATGTTTTTAAAAACCTTTTTTAAAAAAGTATATTGCCTGGAAAGCATACTAGGTTCTTACAGAATTTTTAACCTCTTGGCAAAATCAAATATATGTAAATCTAAAATCACGTTTGGAAGAAATAAATACAATTTTCTGTAAATGTGGTCCTAAGGATCATTAGTGTCTTGTTCTAGTGAAGTTCCAACATTCCTTCTTAAGAAGAGCATCTCAGTACATCCAACTGGAATCAGCTGGCTTCCTCTTGAAGTACATTCTTTTCATGTTCCCTCAGTGAAAGTCTTTTGGTGATAAATCCTGTTTTCAATTTTTTTTGGATAGTGTCTTTATTTTATTTTCCTTCTCAGAAGATCTTTCAATTGTATATTATTTCATTATCTTCTGACTCCTTTTTTTAAAGCAATGGGGTCTTGCTCTGTTGCCTAGGATGGACTCAAACCCCCTGGCTCAAGCAATTCTCCCACCTCAGCTTCCTGAGTAGCTGGGACTACAGGTGCACAACACCACACCTGGCCCATTGTTATTATTAAGAAATTAAGCTGTCGTTTAATTGTGTCTCCTTTGTTGGGTAATCTATCATTTCTTTCTAGTTGCTTTTAAGATTTTCTTCTTGTCTTTGTTGTTTTGCAGCTTCACTCTATGTTGGGGTGGGAATTTCTTTTATTTATACTGTTCAGGATTTGTTGACCTTCCTGAATATGATAATTGATGTCTTTCATCAACTTTTTAAAATTATTAGTCATTATTTCTTTAAATATTACTTCTCCTTATTTGAATGACCTCTTCCTGGAAATGCTAATTAGCTCTTCTCACTCTATATTCTATGTTTGTAAACCTCTCTATACCTGTCTGTCTCTCTGAGCTGCAATTTGAATATTTTTTCAATTTTATAATCCATTCATTAATTCTAATTAGCTGTATCTAATCTGCTTTTTAACCTTTTGATTGAGTTTTAAATTTCATTACATTTTCATTTTTGAAGGTTCAGTATGGTTAGTTTTCAAATTTTCCTGATGAGTTTTGTCTCATTGATTTGTTTTTCATTGCTCATATTTGTCAATCCCTGTTATATTTCTGAAGACATAGTTAACAAATTTTTTTGTCTAATAGTTTCAATACCTGAAGTATGTCAGGGTCTTGTTATTCACTGTGTTGTTTACTCCTGTTTCTGATGGCTTATTTTCTTTTGTGTTTGTGATTTTAAAATTGTTATTAAATAATACTTGGAACTTTATCTGTAGAAATTCCTTGAAGCTAGCATAAATGTACGCTCCTCTAGGGAGAGGGGCCTATAAACACAACACACCCAACTCCACTTAAGTTTCACCTTCCATTAATGTAGATTTAGGCCCTAAATTCTTGTGAGGGTCAGAAAAAGGTCACAGTTTTCTGTGGAGAGACTTAAGCAAACAAACAAACTTTTATCCAGAGCCAATGCTGAGACAGGTTGTCTATTTGATTACAAGTTCAAGTTTCTTTTTTTTCTAGTTCACTCTTTCCCTGAGATGGTAGGCCTTCCAGGGCTCCACCTTTATGCAGCATGATCTTTGTTCCCATACTGTCTTCTGCACAGTAGCTCTAACCTACCATGACTCAGAGTTGGCCAAGAATTTGCTGGCTTTAGAGTTTTCATGTCTTCTTGATCTTGTGTTCCTGATGCAGTCCTATATTTGGTGGATTTCTCTTAGTTTATTGCAGGTTCATTCAATAATTAAAGTGAACTATATTTAATTTTATAGAACATTTTTAGATGTTCTGTGGAAGGAAGGTTTTTTGGATCTCTCCAATATTCTACCACGCTACTGATATTATTTCTCTTTCATTTTTGAAAGATAATTTCACTAAATATAGAATTTTAGGTTGATTTTTATTTCTTTCAACACTTTAAATACTTCACTCCATTCTCTTCTTGCTTGCATCATTTCTGATGAGAAGTCTGCTATGCTTTATTATCTGTTTTTCTGTATATGTGAGGTGTTTTTTCCACCTTGCTTAAAAAAATTAATTAATATTTTTGGTATAAATTTTTAAGGGGTACAAGTGCAGTTTTTGTTACATTAACGTATATTGTAATGGTGAAGTCTGGGCAAGATTTCCTTTGTCTTTAGTTTTCTGAAATCTGAATATGCTTAGGTGTGGGTTCTGTTTTTGTATTTATACTATTTATACAAATAGGACTTTAGTAAGAAGATGTATGTCAATCTGGCTAGGAATCAGAGACTTCAGATTTCTCTAGTGTTCTGGGATTTTTGTTTTTATTTTGTCTCCAGTCTTCATATGTACCTCATATGTACTGTTCTTCAAAGACAGTCTGTGTCTTGCAGCTCTTTCAGCTATATTCCACTGTTATTATATTTGAGACTTCCCAGTATGGTGGTAGGGTATGTGGGAGGAGAAGCACTTCATAATTTTCTGATTGACTGTCACTCTTTTAGTGGTCTAAGCCTTGAGTCTATGGCCTTCACCAATGTTTCTGTCCTTTTTTTCAGTGTTATAGCATTTATCCCCTACTCTCTACTCTCTGGCTGCAATATTGTCAATCTATTTCCTAAGGCTTGTCTCCAGTTGACTATGGTCTCTCTCCCCACCCTTAAATGAAATAGGAAGGCCAAAAGGGGCTGAAGTGGGCAGGAATTCTTTTTCCCCACCTGGGATAAGTTATCAGAATTATACTTTGGCAAAGAAGTTTTCTCTGGAGAGTAGGCCTTCGTTATGGGGAAGGATCTACATGTGGTTTGCACATAGATCCCCTTTAGAAGCCCCCTTTTCCTGCCAGAACCAAGAGTGAATTTTTCTGGGATCTTCATGATGAAAACTTGGTGAGACTCAGACAGACCGTAAAAGTGTGAGACCTGCAGTCTCCAGGAGTTTCTTATTCTCACACTAGTCTACACTCAGCCTCCAGCAATTTATCAAAACTATTACTTTTAAGTGTTTCTAACAGTTTATGTCTCCAGTGACTTCTGCTCCAAGTTAAGCAGATATAAGTTGCTTTATTTCTCTGGAAGAACATGCCTCTGCAGATTTCAGGATGGTGGTTTGATTCAAAGCATTAGTTCTATGATGGGTTCAAGTAGAGTCATTGATTTTTTAGTTAGATCAGATTGTTCTTGTTGTAAAGAGGTCAGAGACAACTTCTAAGATCTTTAAATGTTGGAGATGAAACAAGTTTACTACTGACTTAAGAGTTTCCATATAGTTTGGGTTCTTTGTTTTCAAACAAAAGAAACTGTCTAGCTAACTTAAGTGAAAAGATATTTGTCAGAAGGATATTAAGAACCAAGGCAGCTCTGGGCATCAGTAAACAAGAACTATAGGAAAGTTTTATCAGCAAAATTTTAGTTAAAACATCTCCACTAAGTGTTCAACTGTTTTCAATACATTTATTCATCTGCTCAAGATTCCAATTTCAGGAATTCTGGGACAAAGGTGTTGAGGTGGCTGCAGAGTTTTTAAATATTCTTGAATTCCTGCATAAAATTAGAGGAAGCAGCTAGATAGCAAAACTATCTGGAGATCATTTACAACAGAACTAGATTATAAGATGTCCCCCACAGCCTAAATTACCAGTATCTTCAGGCCTGTGGTTATCATTATCTTTGTTGAAGAAACCTATAAAATTCAGGATGATGATGATTTTTATAAGGAGGGAATAGTCTTCGGGATGAGCTAAATGAAGGGGGTTCTGAAATGGCTGAAAAAGTTCTTTACTTAATGTAGATGGTAGTTGAAAGATTGTTTGCATTGTAGTAATTCACTAAACCATATATTTGTGTTTTTTACCGTATCTGTGTTTTATAATAAAAAGGCTATAAATTTTTAAAATTATATTCTGGAAAAAGAGAATATAATTACCTGGCCTAATTTGTTATACAGGGATATCCTGTATGGGATATGTCAGTCCCATCAGATTGTGTTCACAGGGTTAGAAGTTATTCCCCAAAAGGAAATAACGTTCCTTCCAGATGGATAAATGAATGCTAGGCTGCCCAAACCCAATAATTTTCTATTACAATACAACATTTTTATAAATTTGGGATAGCCCTCTTGTGGTATATATCAATTCTATTATTGTAAGCAGCAAACAAATTATGTGAGTAAGGCCATTCAAAAGAAGAAAGTTCTAAAATTCAGCCACTAGGAAATGAACGAATTAAAAAAAATAGTTTTATAAGCAATGGTTTTACAAGTGTTAGTGTGTAGCTAATTAAAGACGACACTTTAATATTTATAATGAACAAATATATTGAATATGGAGTACTTTTCCCATTGCTTATTTTTGTTGACTTTGTTGAGGATCAGATGGCTGTATGTGTGCAGCTTTATTTCTTCATTCTATTCCATTGGTCTATGTGTCTGTTTTTGTACCAGTTACTGTAGTCTTATAGTATAGTTTGAAATCAGGTAATGTGATACCTCTAGCTTGAACTGAATTGAGAATAAATGTGCTGTAAGAAAGTGAAGACGAAAAATATAGACTATGGCTAGAAGTCTGAATGAGAAGAGAAAATAGTTGGTGGTATTAGGAGGAATATGAATTAAGGAGTTGATTTTTTAACATGAGAGGAACTAATTACCATCTGAGAGCATGCTGCTAGTAGAGAAGGAAAATTTCACTTGGTGAAAGAGAAAGGTAGTAAGGTCAAGAAGAGGTTAGAGAGTCTGGGATCAAGGACACAGCTAGAGCTGTTGCATAAGCATATGTAATATTTTTTTCTTTAGTGAAACCACTCAAACATAACTTGTATAATTCACATAATTCACATATTACCTTAGTTCTTTGAGGCAACCTTAGATATGGGTGAGACTGACTTAATGCAGCATTATCCTGTGGATTGTAGACTTACAAAATTTTTGTTAAGATTTATATGAATTTCCTGGGCGCTTGTGATCTCATAGTCATTTCTTACTCTGGCTCTTTTTTTTCAATTTACTCAGTCTAGTTTATAGATCATACACCACCCTGTTCATGTAGCCTATGTTTCATAGCATGTTAACTCAGTACTGGATTTTGGGCTTTTTCCTTAATAAGGCCATTAAAAACATTTGGCAGGGCACAGTGACTCACACCTGTAATCCCAGCACTTTGGGAGGCCGAGGCGGGAGGATCACCTGAGGTTGGGAGTTCAAGACCAGCCTGACCAACATGGAGAAACCCAGTTTCTACTAAAAAAATACAAAATTAGCTGGACGTGGTGGCGCATGCCTGTAATCCCAGCTACTCAGGAGGCTGAGTCAGGAGAATTGCTTGAACCCGGGAGGCGGAGGTTTCAGTGAGCCGAGATCGTGCCATTGCACTCCAGCCTGGGCAACAAGAGAGAAACTCTGTCTAAAAAAAAAAAAAGATTCACATTCACAGCATATATATGTAGACATTTTTGCTGAAGGCTGGTAATATGCAGGGATTCATTTCATATCACAGTAAAATAAAAACTCAACTTGAAGTCAGCCTCCTGTACTTTTCTTATTCTTCTCAGTTTCTGTCCTCTTCTCTAAGGAGCAAAATCTCAGTTTCTCTTACTCTTTAGTAGCAGAATAATTTCGTTCTCTATGTCCCCTGTACCTAAAGTCAGCTTGAGGAAATCGTGGCCTATCAAAACCCAGTAAAATGCTCAACAGAACAAATGGGCCTTCTTTAGAAATGTTTTTTTGCATCCCTCACATAAATTTGTAGCCAATTTCAAGTCTTTTTCTTTTTCAGGGCTCATAATGAAAAAAAAAATTTTTTTTTTTAAAGAATATGCCATTAAACAAAATAATACTATATCTGAGCTGGAAGAAAACTTAAACACTGCCCCTTACCCCTGTATTTTACCAAAATGAATGAGGCAGGTCATATAGTTTTCATACTCTTGAGCTTCTAAAACTCTTTTATATAAATGTTTTAGTTTATAAAACACCTCAAGTTTCTGAACCAGACCATGTTTTTCATTGACACCAAAGTCACATAATTTCTTCAATGTTTAATTTAAACTGTGATGTCATTGGGAGGGATCTTTTATTGGCCATCATGGTACACTGTCATTACATATTCCTAAAAATCCCTATGTCAGATTTACTGTTCTCTCTACTAAGAGAAAACAAAATCTGAATTTGCTTTGGTAACTGCTATACCTCACTTTTCTTAAGTTAATGAAGCTTTCCTCTGAAAAAGCCAAGAAGGTTCTATATCTTTTCCTGAGGATGGTTTGTTGAGTCTGTATGGAGAATCAAGAAAATGGTTTATAACATTAAATTTGCCACTAGCTGCTTATGTCAACTAGTTATGTCAGTTATGATATAACCAAACCTAATTATTTATTAATTGCCTCTTCACAGAGATGAAATAAAGAAGAAAAAGAAAGTGTTTGAGAATAGCTTAACAATTAAAAGCAACTTAAAAGACATGAACATAGCGAAATGACCCAGTGAGTCCAACATAGTGCTCTAGGGATGCTGAAGTGACCAATCAATGATGAGGAAGATGACAAGTACATACATATCACATGCTGTCCTCACCTGTGAGACGGTATCTAAAATATCAACAAGAATACTTCCTGTGGGAAGTATTTTAATAGGAGGATAAAAAGGAGCCTGTGATTTCAGAAAACGATGTTCCTATATCCAAGGAAAATACTCTCCCAGGAAAAACACAGCAGACTTTCCAGGTTCAAGATGTCGTTCCAGATTCCAGATTCAAGAAGCCATTATATTAATGCAAATTTAACTTGATGAAAAAAATTTCATGCTGTGTCTATGAAATGTGAGTAGAAATCATTACAGTGGCTGGGCGCGGTGGCTCACGCCTGTAATCCCAGCACTTTGGGAAGCCGAGGCTGTTGGATCACCTGAAGTTGGGAGTTCGCGACCAGCCTGACCAACATGGAGAAACCCCATCTGTACTAAAGATACAAAATTAGCTGGGCGTGGTGGCATATGCCTGTAATCCCAGCTACTTGGGAGGCTGAGACAGGAGAATCGCTTGAACCCGGAAGGCGGAGGTTGTGGTAAGCCGAGATTGTGCCATTGCACTCCAGCCTGGGCAACAAGAGCAAAACTCCATCTCAAAAAAAAAAAAAAAGAAAGAAATCATTACAGTAACATTAATAAAAGTAAGATGACAAAATATCTGAGGCATGGATAGCATAAAAGGCACCATTACTAAGAGAAGTTACCTATTGCTGGAACATGGAATTGTAAGAATAGAGAAAGTGGGGAGATTACCATCTGATGAGCAACATAAGCTTAGATGAGGGAGGCCTGGGTTTTGTGGAGAAGGGGTAAATGATGACTATAATGTCTGAAGACTAAGAAAATCAGAAAGACTGCTCTCAGCAGGCAAGAACATTTTATTTGATACTGTATGACCACATGTGAAAAGAACATCTTATCTGATTCTGTATGTGTTACTCTGATTCTATGCATGCCAGTAGTGTTATATTTCTGCATTGGACATGGGAAAATTGTAAACATCAATGATCAGATGTTTTCTAGGACCTTCTGAGGAGTCACAGAATCCTTCAGAAAGAGGAGACTGGAGTTGGTAACTTAAAGCAAAAAGTAATGGAATATTGATTGGGTTTGAGTTGTGTGTGAGCCTAATAATTCACAATTGAACAGTGGAGAATAATAGTGTAACTACCATTTATTGAGTACCTTCACTATACCAGGTACTGTACTACTTATTTTACAAATTGGATCTGATTTAACTTACATAATAAATGAGGCATTTTTTTCAGTTTTAGAAATGAAAAAAAAATGAGATGAATTAGATGCATTCCAAAGACTGGAATCTGTAACTTAATAGGAAGTTCCAAGACGGCATGTTTATACAAGAAAAGCCTGGTAATTTCAACCCAGGGATGATGAGATAGTATCATCTACTTTGTGCTTTATTGCAGAAGTTAAGACATGAGCTAAACTTGGGTTATTAGTGGAGAAGTAATTATCAAAATCTTGTCTTCACCTTGCTACCTTTTCAAACATTAATCACTAGCTGATATTACTATGCTAAACACGTGAATAGAATCCCAAATATCATGGAGGTTATCTTCTAGTAAGGGAAAAAGATCACAGACAAGTAGATAAATATTAAAGTAATTTCAGATAGTAATATTGCTGTGAAGAAAACGTGATGGTAAGATGGGTGAGGTTAACTTTAATTAGGGTGGGTAGGGAAGGTTTCCCTGAGGAGGCAAAATTTGAGCTGATTGTCAATATGAAATCAGCCATCTGAAGATCTGGCAGAAAATAATTTCAGATAAATAAAGTAAATATTTGGGAAATTTTCTGATTATTAAATTCGGATGGTCTATTTTATAGCCCTGTACTGTTTCAGAATTGACAATATTTCATTGAATGAAGAGTTTCAGTTTGTCCTGGGAAGTATTTCCCCTAACTCTTTTAATATTTAAACACTCAGTGGTCCAGTTTGTTTCTAAGATTCCACTATCAATATACTGGCTAGCCTCTTGTATGGAGGCCTCTTGTGGTCTTTTCTGCTTCTGTTCCTGCTCCTAAAGGAGAAAGCATCTCCCTAGCTGTGGTAGATCGTTTATAAAGACTGCTACAATAATTCCTCCCATCTGTATACATTTCTTTTTTTTTTTTTTTTTTGTTTGTTTGTTTGTTTGAAACAGAATCTCGCTCTGTCTCCCAGGCTGGAGTGCAGTGGTGCGATGTCGGCTCACTGCAAGCTCCGCCTTCCGGGTTCATGCCATTCTCCTGCCTCAGCCTCCCGAGTAGCTGGAACTACAGGCGCCCACCACTAAGCCCGGCTAATTTTTTTTTTTTTTTTTTTTTTTTTTTTTTTTTTTTTTTTTTTTTTGAGACGGAGTCTCACTCTGTGGCGCAGGCTGGAGTGCAGTGGTGCAATCTCGGCTCACTGCAAGCTCCGCCTCCCGGGTTCACGCCATTCTCCTGCCTCAGCCTCCTGAGTAGCTGGGACTACAGGCGCCCGCCACCGCACCCAGCTAATTTTTTGTATTGTTAGTAGAGACGGGGTTTCACCGTGGTCTTGACCTCCTGACCTCGTGATCCGCCTGCCTCGGCCTCCCAAAGTGCTGGGATTACAGGCTTGAGTCACCGCGCCTGGCTAATTTTTTGTATTTTTAGTAGAGACAGGGTTTCACCGTGTTGGCCAAGATGGTCTCAATTTCCTGACCTCGTGATCCGCCTGCCTTGGCATCCCAAAGTGCTGGGATTACAGGCCTGAGCCACAGCTCCCGGCTTCCCATCTGTATACATTTCTTTGCAACTGTGATTTTGCTACTTCTTTCATCAAGTGGTGAAATCCTTTCTCTGCACCCTTAAAACTGGGCTGGCGTTCTGACCTGCCTTACCAATAGAATGCAATGGAAGTAATATTTTGGGACTTCTAAGCCTAGGCATCAGGAAACCTTTGAAGCTTTTGCTCTTATCCTCTTGGAATGTTGCCATCACCATGTGAAGATGCCCCAGCCAGTCTCCTTGAGGATGAGGAGACCACATGGAGACAGAAGGCCAGCCAAAGCTGTCACCAACTCAGCAGACTTTTGAGTAAGGCTATCTTGGACCATGCATCCCAAGTGACCTCCAGATGACAGCATCTGCATGAGTGACCTAATGTGAGGTCAGCAGACAAACCATTCAATTGAAACCAGCTCATGTTTCTGACCCACAGAATTATGAACAAATAAAATGTTTGTCATTTTAAGCCACTAAGTTTGTTATGCAGCAATAGATCATGATGAAACTAGCTAAGCTCCAAAAATCTTTCTCTGGGGCTTTATGTCATTTTGCACTGAACTTGAAGTTGCTGACTGAATGCTTCTTCAAGAGGTCTCTTGAAAGATGCCAGAATACATTACACTAAGCTTTCACTTATTTAAAAAATTATTTCACTTCAAGAATGTGTATCAGCAGAATTGAAAGATTGGTTCTACTCTTTGATGGAGAAAGGATTCTTCACTTATTATTCTGAACTAATAGGCATATTATGATAGCATTGAACCTGCACAGATAGATTCATAGTCCTTTCTCACTATTTCCAAACTCTTGCTTTCTTTTAACACAAACTCTAAATTCCCAGCTTAAGAACTTCTACATTCTGTGCTACTCACCAAGTGTGGGTATCTGGCATTCTGAGTACCAAAATCTTGACTACTGTTTATCTATTGATTACTGGTATTTCAAATACCTGCCATTAGTAGTTGAAAGGGAAATTTTGCTTTGGGATGTTATGAAGATATAATTGAGAGTAGCAGAACCCACATTAATGAAGGAATCATATGTAGTTTTAGCATACTATGTAGCTCGGGTTTTAATTAGTGCCTCCTCCCTGTTAAGATTTGGAAGGATAGGAAGACATTGGTTACTGTGATCTTTAAATTTTTCACTACTTGACTACATTTATTTATTTATCTATTTATTTTGCTACTAGCTACACTTATTCTTTTTTTTTTGGCTGCTAAACAGATCCAGGTTGAATTTTCCTTCTTCAGTTAAAAAGAATGCCTGTTATATCTCGTTTTAGGCACCCTCCCTTTTTGCTCCTATGAAGTTTGATGAATAGAAGTAAGTTTCTGATATGAGTATTTACTTAAAGGTCTTCCTCTGTCATACTCACAACTCCACCATCCTATGGTTATGTTGTACATCGCTTAATCAGTGTCCCTTTTCCACTACCCTATCATCATCAGCTATGGTAAAGTTATCCATTTGCTAGCCCACTGGGGTTTGTGTGGTTTATCCAAGCAATGACACTTGAATATGAATGATACTAGTTTCTCCAATGGTTTTCTTTGTTGACCATGCAATATCTTGAGCATTTATTTTTAACTCCAGTTTTTCTTCATGGTGTCATATCCCTCTTAGATCACCCTCTTTCTATTCTAAGCTTGTGTTACCTTTTAGCCTAGGCACTCAACTTCCTGCTTCCTGTTTAAAAAACAGGTCTCAGTTTAGAGTAGAAATAAATGGCATTTTCTGAACTCAATTGTTGAGACTATTCTCCTGTTATTCACTGGATTGCGTATCCAGCTCTGCATACTTCCCCATTACCTGGTGATTAACATCCACGTGTTCTTCAGAGATAATGTTTCTAAATATCCTTTAGTTATGGTATTATAGTACACAACACAAACCTTCAAACATTTTTAGATGATGGACAGATAAATCTCATTAAGTACTTTTTCTTGAGGGATAGCAGATTTATAAATGGCATGTTTTTATAGATTTATGAATCTTTAACATTTTCATTTTGGGAATCATCTTCTGTGATTTCACATTTTTAGCCTCTAAATGTGAAAGGCTAAGAGCAAAATGAGCTGGAAGTGTTTGTAGGACTCTAAATCTAAATTTTGAGATATATGGAAGAGTATGTAGACATTGATTACTATTTATGAGGTCCTCCCTTAATGAAACAAAACATAAAATCCCAAAACAATACTCTAAAATTAAAAGTCAATTTGTTAAGCCTAATACTTCTTAATTAAATTTTTTGGATGACAAAAGTCCTACATGCATATGTTGTCATTATGAAAAATTAATATTATTTGGGAGCATGTAGAACAAAAACGTAAGTATTTCTTATCTTAGTTTGGGTTCTTCCCAAAGAAGAGTCTAAGAAAATGACTTCAGTATAGGTATTCTGATTGGGAGGTGATCCTAGGAAGCACAAGAGGAGTGAAAAAAGTGAGACGGGAAAAGGAAAAGGGCCAATAAAGCGTGTGGTAACAAAACAAATGGATTGCTACTGTAGACAATTGAGGCTCAATTTTGCTGGGGAACCTCTAAGGAATCTTGTAGGATTGTAGAAATGTACTTCAGAATTGTCCCCCTAAACGCCATTCTTTTCCTTAATATATTTGTTTAGTCCTAGGCTAATACCTTACTGTTTTATTCTAGTTGCATAGTATGTTTTGATTTCTAGTAGAATAAATTATCTTTCCTATTATTCTATTATTATTCTTTTTAAAACTCAGTGTTTATAAACCTTTTCTGTAATTTTTGGAATAAGCTAATTAAGATTTATTTTTTAAAAATACTGAGGAGATTTGAATCAGAATTGCATTGCTTTACAATATAGTGTCTTCCTATCCAGGAACATCGTATGTCTTCATTTGTTGGATGTTTTATGTGTTTAAGTTCTAGTTTTTAAAATAGATTTTGTACATTTCTTGTTTCATTTACTCGTCAATATTTTATAGTTCTTATTGCTACTGTGAATACAGTCTTTGTAGTATTTTAAAAACATGTATAGCGAATTCCTATAATTTTATGGTGCCTAAGCATCTATTTGAATATAGATTGGACTTTCTCATAGCAGAAGCAGGGCTTACTTACCCTTAACCCAGTTTTCAGTTTCCCACTTCCTCCTAGTTTCTCCGTGTGGTCAATCCAGATATCTTTCTTGTACAACTGCCTCCTGGTGACCACCTTCCTGTGAAACATGTAGATATAACCTACTTGACCTGCCCCGCTGACCCCCACACTTTGCATGGACTGCACAGATATACCACGGTGACCACCTCTCAGTCACAGTGTCCCCACAGAACTCATGCTTTCTTGCTTTAAATCAGCCCATTAGAATTCCCCTTGGGAAACCTGCTTGTGTAATGTCCTGGGCCCCAATAAAGGCTTGTCCCATAGCTCCTCTCTCTCTTTCTCTTGTTCTTTACCTTCTGCTTGAGTATACATGTCCTGGATGATTCCCCCTTTCCAACAGGCTTTGTGAAGCATGCTGCCCTCTTCTCTCAGGGATCTGTATGTAATAAAACTGTTTCTATTATTCATGTGTTTTGTTGTGCCTCCTCTTTTGTGTCTCACCTGACCAACACACCTGAATCTAGCATCTGTCCTAGACAGGGCAGAAGGCTCTTCTAAAGATTAGGGCCCTCCTATAGAATGGCTATCTTGGTAGGAAAAATGGACTCCAGTCACATAAGGGCCACAGTATAAACAAATTTCCTGTAAGAGGGACTCCTGGTCACAGTTTAGACACTTAGGCATTAGACTGTCAACCAGGATAAAGAACTATCCCGAGAAATGCACAATGTAACCATCTACAACTACCTCCCCTGGAGTCCCATCAGGACAGGGCTACAATTATAGCCACTCCCTAGAGAAAGACCTCTAGACCAAAGTTTTTTAAAAATTATGGAACATGTTATTAGTAATGTGTAAGAAAGCTATTTATATCTGCAGATAGATAATGTATCTAGCCATCTTATTAACTGGTTAATTGTAGGCAGATTTTTATCCCTTTACATTCTCTCCTTTTCAAACCTCTTTTATTAGCAGAAGGAGACACAATCTTGCTGCTACCTTTTCCATCCCATATTCTTGGAGATTAAAGATAAGACTATAGTTTATTTTTCTGACTCTTAACTATAGCTTACTTCCCTTTTGGGAAGGGTAAGTAATCAATCTAATTTCCTCTACCTCCAATGTATACTGGTCCACTGAAATACGTTTTTTTTTTTTTGCCTTTCACATTCTGGCTTAACTATGGCTAGAATTTTTTTAAAACTTACTAAATTCTAATGGATATCAAGGAAATACTGGAAACAATAAAAACAAAAACCTGCATTGATAGAAGTACAGAATTTTAACCATAGCACTGTTTACTTAAAAATGATAAACATTTTAAAAATAAGAAACATTTATTCCCAAATATCAACATATTTCTTTCCACTGTAACTGAGCCTCTTCTTCATTGTTAATTCTGCTGACATAAAAAAGAAGTAGAAAAGCTTGTATATAGTTCTTTGGTATTGATTTTATGTTAATAATCTGTTTATAATGTAATGTTATATACTTTATTCCAAATTCAAATATAAATTATTCCTAATAATCCAACTTTTTAAAGTCCTTGCCCTAGTCCAAACCAAGTTCTTGTTACCCCTATCCCTTTCATGTAAATCTTTTTACGAAACTATCTGAGCTTCTGAATTTAAGTAGTAATATTAGCATTGTCATCAAGAGGTTTGAAATCATACAGGCCTGGATTTGAGTTCCAATTCAATTATTAGATGTGTGAGTTTATGAAAATTAATCATCTTCTTTAAGGTTTGGTTTATTTTTGTAAAATTAGAGGTGAGGAATAAAAGATAAGTAATAAATCAAGCTGTTTGACAGGAATTAGAAATACATTATATTAAACCCTAAGAGATGAATGAAACTATAGCATCAAAATAAATAACTCAGTGGGTCCTTTTGCTATAAATTCAGGCATACCAAATTACTCGTAGTTTCTTGGCCATCCTATGGAGTTTTATATCTCTGTACCTTGGCACATACTGCTTTATCTTCCTGGAGTTTTCTCTCCACTTTTGCCCACCTAGTCAACTATTCCCAATGAGCTAATACAGTACATATGTGCCTTCCTCATGCAATGTTTTAGGTCATACTGTTCAAAATCAGCTTCACCAAGATTCAGATTAATTACTATGTCTCTTTAAAAGCTCTCCCTAGTGTTCTATGCTCCTGTAACACCTGATGCTTACCCCGTCCTAATACTGATTACATTGTATTGTTATTTTTATTTATCTACCTGTGTCCCCTCCATCACTGTAAGCCTCACTATGCATTACATATTTGGCATCTAGAGATGAGTGTAACTGTGTGAATTAATGGACACTTACACTGCAATATCCATGTACCATAACTCACCTAACCCTGGAACTTCTGAGCTCTTCAGTTATTCATTCATTCCATCCATGCATTTATCAATTTCATCCACTTATTCCATCCATCCATCCCATTTGTTCCATACAACCCCACATCTGTTTTATCTATCTGTTCATTTATTCCATCATCCTATCCATCCATTCCTTCTTTCTTATTCATCCACCCATCCCATCCATCCATTCCATCTCTCCAGAAAACAACATGTGATTGGCACTAGAGATTAAAAAATGAGAAATATATAATTTCTGATTTCAAGGAACTCATAATGAGAAAGTGGCACAAGCTAAAAAATATGTCACTTTTCTATTTTTTTGTAGTTACCAAAATGAGAACTTATGGTAATAATAGCATTATTTTTAGTTAACTACTTTTTATTTTTCAAAAATACAATAAATATTTGTTTACAAGTGAAGTGAGATTTTACTTTTTTCTGGAATTCAGTATCACATAGCAATTTTTATGGCACAAGAAATAACATTAAATTTCTGGAAAAAATATAAATCTACTTTTTCCAATAGTTTAGTAAACTTTTAAAGGAATAGTGAATAATGTGTCTTCTAATATAATAAATAATGCTTTTATTTTAAAATTTATTTTATTTATATTGGTATATAATAAAAATGTTTATTACCCCCAAAATACATATTTTTGGGGTACATATGACATTTTGATACCTGTATGCAATGTGTAATGATCAAATCAGAGTATTGGGATATCAATCACCTAAAACACTTATTTTTCCTTTGTGTTGAAACATTATAATTCTTTCATTCTAGCTATTTTGAAATGTAAAATAAATTATTAACTATAATTTTGCTACTGTACTATTGAATACTATAATTTATTTTTTATTTTTTATTTTTATTTTTTGCGATGGAGAATCACTCTGTCACCCAGGCTGGAGTGCAGTGGCATGATCTCAGCTCACTGCAACTTCAGCCTCCTGGGTTCAAGCAATTCTCCTGCCTCAGCCTCCCAAAGGCTTTTAGCTCCCACAAAGGCACGAGAACATGCAATATTTGTCTTTCTGTGGTCGACTGATTTTATTTAACATAATGACTTCCAATTCCACCCATATTGCTGCAAATAACATGATTTCATTGATTTTTATGGCTGAATAATATTCCATTGTGTATATATACCACATTTTCTTTATCCATTCACCCATTGATGGACACTTAGGTCGATTCTTCATCTTAGCTATTGTGAATAATGCTGCAGTAAACACGGGAGTGCAAATCTCTCTTTGATACATTAATTTCCTTCTTTTGAATATGTACTCAACAGTGGGATTGCTGGATCATATGGTAGTTCTATTTTTAGCCTTTTTCAGAACCTTCATACTTTTCTTTATAGTGGCTGTACTATGTACATTACATTCCCACCAATGGTGTATAAGGGTTTTCCTTTCTTTATCCTTGCCAGCATTTGTTATTTTTTGTCTTTGATAGTAGCCATTCTAACTGGGGTAAGATGACAACTCATTATGGTTTTTGATTTGCATTTCCCTGATGACTGGTGATATTGAACATTGTTTCATACACCTATTGGCCATTTGTATGTCTCCTTTTGAGAAATGTCTACTTAGGTCTTTTGTCCATTTTTAAGTTAGATTTTCTTTTTCCTTTTTTTCTATAATAACTTTTAAGTTCAGGGGTACAAGTGCCAGTTTGTTATATAGGTAAGCCTGTGTCACGGAGGTTTGTTGTAACAATTATTTTATTGCCCAGGTATTAAGTCTAGTACTCTTTAGTTATTCTTCCTACTCCTCCCACCGTCCACCATCTGGTAGGCCCCAATGTCTGTTGTTCCCCTCCTTTGTGTTCATGTGTTCTCATCATGTAGCTCCCACTTATAAGTAAGAACATGCAGTATTTGGTTTTCTGTTCCTGCATTAGTTTGCTAAGGATAATGGCCTCAAGCTCCATCCATGTAAATAACAGATGCTGACAAGGTTGCAGAGAAAAAGGAATGTTTATACACTGTTGGTGGGAGTCTAAATTAGTTCAACCATCGTGGAAAGCAGTGCAGCAATTCCTCAAAGAGCGAAAAACAGAACTACCATTCAACCCAGCAATCCCATTACTGGTTATGTCCCCGGTGGAATGTAAATAATTATATCATAAAGACAGATGCATGCATATGTTCATTGCAGTACTATTCACAATAGCAAAGACATGGAATCAGTGATAGGCTAGATAAAGAAAATGTGGTACATATACACCATGAAATACTACACGACCATCAAAAAGAACAAGATCATGTCTTTTTTTTTTCTTTTAAGTTGGTCAAGTTCCTTGTATATTCTGGTTATTAATCTCTTGTTGGATGGATAGTTTACAAATATTTTCTTCCATTGTTGGGTTATCTCTTCACTTTGTTGATTGTTTCCTTTGCTGTCCAGAAGATTTTTAGCTTGATGTAATCTCATTTGTCTATTTTTGTTTTTGTTGCTTGTGCTTTTGATCTTATCCAAAACTCTTTCCTCAGACCAATGTACTGTAGTGTTTCCCCAATGTTTTCTTTTAGTAGTTCTATCATTTCAAGTCTTACATTTAAGCCTTTAATCCATTTTGAGTTGATTTTTGTATATGGTGAAAGATGAGAATCTAATTACACCCTTCTGCATATGAATATCCAGTTTTTCTAGCACAACTTATTAAAGAAATTGTCCTTTTCCAAATGTATGTTCTTGGTTCTTTTGTCGAAAATGAGTTGGGTGTCAAGTGCTTGAATTTATTTCTGGGTTGTCTATTCTGTTTCATTGGTCTATGTGTTTGTTTTTATGCCAGTACCATGCTGTACTGGTTACTATAGTATTGTAGTATATTTGAAATCAGGTAGTATGATTCCTCCAGCTATATTCTTTTTGGTCAGGATTGCTTTAGCTATTTGGGGTCTTTTGAGGTTCCATACAAATTTTAGGATTTTATTTTTTATTTCTGTGTAGAATGTTTTTGGCATTTTGATAGGGATTGCATTGAATCTGTAGATTTCTTTGGGTAGTGTAAACATTTTAATAATATTAATTCTTCCAATCTATGAGCATGGGATATCTTTCTATTTTTTGGTGACTTTTCAATTTCTTTCATCAGTGTTTTATGGTTTTCCTTGTAGAAGTCTTTCATTTCTTTGGTTAAATTTATTACTAGTAATTTTTTGGTAGCTATTGTAAATGAGATTACTTTCCTGATTTCTTTTTCAGATTGATCACTGTTAGTGTTTATAAATGCTACTGATTTTTGGGTGTTAATTTTGTATCCTGCAACATTATGGAATTTGTTCATTAGCTCTAAGTGTTCTTTGGTGGAGTATTTAGGCTTTTTAAAATATAAAATCATATTGTCTGCAAACAAGGATAAGTTGGCTTCTTCCTCTCCAATTTGGATACCTTTTATTTCTTTCTCTTGCCTAATTGCTCTGGTTAGCACTTCTAGTATGATATTGAATAGAAGTGGTGCATGTGGGCACCCTTGTCTGATTCCAGATTTTAGAGGAAAGTCTTCTGATTTTTTTTTAACATGATATTCACTGTGGGTTTGTAATATATGGCCTTTATTGTGTTGAGGTATATTCCTTCTATACCAAATTTGTTTTATGGCTTTTGTCCTTCATTCTGTTGATGTGATGTATCATATTTATTGATTTGCATTTATTGCATCCCTAGGATAAATTCCACTTGATCATGATGAATAATCTTTTGAAGATGTTTTTGAATTTGGTTTGCAAGTATTGTGTTGAAGATTTTTACATCTATGTTAATCAGCAATATTGGCCTGTAGTTTTCTTTTGTTGTTGTTTCTTTGTTTGGTTTTGTTATCAGGGTATTGCTGGCCTCATTGGATGAATTTAAAAGTATTCTGTCATCTTCCACTTTTCAGAATAGTTTGAGCAGAATTGGTATTAGTTCTTTAAATATTGGTGGAATTCAGCAGTGAATCCATCAGGCTTTTCTTTGATGGGAGATGTCTTTTATTACTGCTTCAATCTCATTACTTGTTATTGATCTGTTCAGGTTTTCTATTTCTTCATAATTTTATCTTGTTAGGTTGCATGTGTCTGTGAATTTATCTAGTTCTTCTAGGTTTTCCAATGTGTTGGTGTATAGTTGTTCATAGCAGTCTCTAATGACATTTTTTATTTCTGTGGTACCAGTTGTAATGTTCCCTTTTTCATCTCTAATATTTATTTGGGTTTTCTCTCCTTTTTTCTTAGTCTGGTTAAAGGTTTGTCAATTTTCTTTATTTTTTCAAAAAAGCCCAACTTTTTATTTTATTGATCTTTTGTATTTTTGTCTCAATTTCATTTATTTCTGCTCTGATCTTTATTATTTCTTTCCTTCTACCAATTTTGTGTTTGGTTTGTTCTTGCTTTTCTAGTTCTTTGAGGTGCCTTATTAGGTTGTTCATTTGAAATCATCCTATTTCTTCAATGTATGCATTTACTGCTGTGGACCCCAAATATCTGAGACAGGTCTCAGTCAATTCAGGAGTTTATTTGCCAAAGTTAAGGATGCACACCCATGACACAGCCTCAGAAGGCCCGGATGACATGTGCCCAAGGTGGTCGGGGCACAGCCTGGTTTTATACACTTTAGGGAGACATGAGACATCAATCAATATATGTAAGATGTACATTGGTTCTGTCCGGAAAGGTGAGACAACTCAAAGTGGGGAGGGGGCTTCCAGGTTATAGGTAGGTAAGAGACAAATGGTTGCATTCTTTTGAGTTTCTGACTGGCCTTTCCAAAGGAGGCAATCAGATATGCATTTATCTCAGCAGAGGGATGACTTTGAATTTTATCTGTCCTTTGTCCACAAGGAAATTCCTTGTGAGGGAGGTATGTAGCTTTTTAATCTTAATAGCTGTCTTTTTTAGGAATAGAATGGGAGGCAGGCTTGCCCTAAGCAGTTCCCAGCCTGACTTTTCCCTTTGACTTAGTGATTTGGGAGATCCCAAGATTTATTTTCCTTTCACACTTCCACCTTTTCTTTTTAAAATCTTTCAGAGAAAGCGTTTTAGAAGAAAATGAGTCTCTGGTCTCAGATTTTGTCTGATCTCTCATGGTTAAAATAGTTTATTCCTAGACGGGTAGGTCCCATGTTGTTAGGAAAGTTCATTTTTAGCAGGTTGTGAAGTCTTACATCCTACAAAGAGAAACTAGGGTGAGGAAGGGAGAAAAACAACAACAAACAAAAAAAGAACAATCCTGGAAACTCGATTACTCTGAAGCCCATACATCAGTAGGCAGGTATGAAAGTGGCTTATGTGTGTAAATAGGCTGCTGTTATTTTCTTCTGAAGTTTAAGTTATCTAGCTTCAGTTTGCAAGTCTTTAAGAAAGCATAGCTTAGCTTTCAGTGATTTTAAATCAGCAAAAATAGGGGAAAAAGAAAAAGAAGAAAAAAATTGAAAAGATTATTTTGGAGACTTATAGCCAGGAAAAATTAGAATTCAGTCTAAGCTGAAGAAAATAATAAAAATTGAAAAACATTAGGCAAGACTAGAATCTAACAACAGATGTACTATAGTTTTTGATCCATAATTTCTCTCTCTCGTTTCCCATTTTTACTAAAGACAAATCATGGTAGGACTGATTTACTTTATTATACTTGGCCCGACTATTTTTATAAAGTGCAGCAAGAATAATTATTTTTCACATGGGCTTTTAAATTGGCTTTGATAGAACTTTGTTCTATAGAAGGAATCTCAGAAAGTCTTTTTAAAAGCTGATCCCAGTCATGGCTCTGTACCGTCAAATACCTATTGAGTTGGGTAAATTCTTTTCCTCTTGAGGTCCCAGGATAACTTGGGACTCCTGGGCCTCTCAGAAAGTGACGTTCTTTACTTACCACAGATCAGAAACCCTGTACAGGGACTGAGGAGACAAGGTATGAGGCCAGTTTTCCCAATGGGCTTTTATTGGATCTATAAGTCAAGTTTGGTTCCTTAAGGAAAGCACACCATTCCAGTCAAAGTCTTGGTAAAATAACCAGTTTCTCTAATGGTATCCAGTTGTAACACATGCTTATTGCACTGATGCGAATAACTATATTCCTGTAAATTAAGAATACTCACAAATAGTTTCCAAACCCTGGAGAAATCAGGTAGAGAGAAAGAAATATGCTCCAAATTTTGTTCACAGTAGTGTACTTTCTTCAATTGCTACAAGCTGTAAATAGCTCACATTAGTTTTCTTAATTCTGAAAATCAAAACAAAGGATTAGCAACATTTTTTGTGGGTTTTTAAATTTTATTTTATTTTACTTTAAGTTTTTTGTTATTTTATTTTATTTTACTTTAATACATGTGCAGGATGTGCAGGTTGGCTACATAGGTAAACATGTGCTATGCTGGTTGATCGGCAATGTTGTAAGCAAAAAAGTCAAAAATGATTACTTCAGTCTTCTCTTAGTTCAGGCCATGCATGTTCTGCTTGATATTCATGAACATTCAAGCTCTCCATGAGACTCCTGAAAGTTTTTCTTCTAATGTCACAATCTCCAAAGTTATCAGAACCTTGCATTCAAGAACACCTGTTAGAGTTTCATAGCTGATTATAAAACTACCTTCTAAAGAGGACCAAAACCAAACAACAAATGTCCATAGCTGACAAAAAGTGTTAGGGCAGCCACAGTCAAAGACAAAATTGACAAGGAAATTTGTTACCTCTGTGGTAAATAATAATTTAGCATAACAATTATAATTATTACTGATAATGTACACTAAGTTGTATCAGAATTATAGGTGTTTCTCATAATTTTGGAACACATGCCAATAAAATATTTATACAAATAAAACCCAAACAAAGCCAAACACCATTTCATATTTGACAATGCTTCCAGTAAGATTTTTATATCGAATAAGCCAAATATGTCATTTTTGGACTTTAGGGAAACTAATATCTTAAAGGATTAATTATGTCAGAAAAAATACATAATTTATCATTTGATTTTGGAAAGTTTGTCAAGTATCAAAGGTTTAAAACACTGATATCACAAAATAGGATCACAGGTCATTGTAAAATAAGTCATTTATTTAACCAAAGTGATAACTCAAAGATTACCACCAAAAGCCAAAAACGTTTATCCTTTGAGAGAGGAGAGTTAATTTTACAAACAATAAGCCTTAATAAAAATAGCAAGAGGACAATTAGTTTTGTTTTTCAAAAATTTATAAACAATCTATAACATTTTAGTCATCAATGATAAGATATAATTTCCATAAGCCTTTATAACCTCTATTAAGGAGTGGGTTAATTCTTCAAGAAAACCTTGTTAATCTGACAGAGGGGCCCATATGCTAGTTTTACATCAGTGTGCCTTTGACATTAACGGTTAATTCATAGAGAATGAATGAACTTATGAATGAATTTATTTCATCTCTCAAAATTGGCCCCTATAATCTCATGCACCCACCTCTTCTGTGATAGTCCCTGGGCCCTGAGGAGTTGAATGGCTTTAATTTTTGGCCCTGTGTTTCATGAACGAAGTTTATTTTGATTGGCATCTTCTACTGGGTTTGAATATGAGGCTTTAACTGCTATCAGCGTTAAGATTTAGCAGGACTTGGTGTCCTTTTTAGACCCAGGAGTCAAAGCCCTATAACTTATGGCACAAGGACTTTAAAAGCACATACAGAAAGTTACATGGATGTAATAACCTCAATTCAAAAAAAAAAATTAATCTCAGTTTTTCCTAAGCAAACCAAACTTAGTAATAACGACATAGGAATTATTTCAATAAAGCTAAGATCTATTTATTAGGCCAGTTACCCAAAGGCAAAAGAAAAGACCTCCTGCAGTTTACCTGCTATTCCCTATAGGGAATATTATGTTGGAAGGAAACATTTCCTTCCAACCTTCCTTCTTCCTTAAGATATGACTTGTTTGTTGTTTTTCAGTGTCAGGCCACAACAATTAGAACCTAAAGGAAAAAAAAACAACTCACAGGAGCTGAAAATGAGTTGATGGATAGAGTTACCATTTCAGGCCTCTTAAAAGGGGAGAGAAAGCTGAAAACAACAAGACACAATAAAAGTTGAACTTTGCATAAAAAATTATAATGTCTTGTAATTTATTAAGAGTAAAGCAATACCTTAAGAAGTTTACATATTTGAAGAAATTCCTCAGTGTTTAAGTTTTTAAAATCAAACCCAACCTCTAGAAGGACCATTATAATTTCTCTTTAATTAGAGACAATTTGATCATATAATTTTTTTCATAATCCTCTCATTATGACTTACACAGACCATTCATGACATGCTTAGACTTTCTAGTTTGTCCTGAACATCTTTCTTAAACAACCAGTTATTCTATTAGAGGACAAAATTTACCACACAAGATTATTTCTCATATAAAATTATTTTTCTTTAAGCTTTCTTACCAATGATACCTCTTTATCTCTATAACTTTCTTTATATCTCTCTCATTTCCTGGTTCCTTTTACCTTGTTTTATATATAACCTTTAAATAAGCTTTGAATGGCAAACATTTTTACCTTTTTATAAGAACACACATTTTTAGAAAGAATGTTTTCTTATGATTTTTTTTATTGGAAAATATCCAATTAACAAACTATTCATTATTTAATTTAACTTTAGATTCTAAATTATGACATTTGTTTCCAAGTAGTTATCCCATTACATTTACCTAGTTATTTTATGTTAATAATTTACCTAGATTATTTATGAAAACTGTGAAAGTTCTCATTTAAAGTTATGAAACCACTATTGTAAAATTATAACTGAAACAGTGAAGATATCTGACCTAACCAGCTCCATCTTGCTTCTAACCTCCAAGCTGTTCTTGTTCATTCCTCGGCATAGGCTGAACTAACTTTGGGAGGAACTAGTTTATAGTTTAGCTTTGAAACAAAGATGATAACAGTCCTTTCCCAAAACACACCCCCTTCCTGCCTGGGGACTATCTAAAGCCACAAGAATAGAAACTGTGGTTTAGGAGTCATGTGGCTGAAGGCTGCAAGATTCTAAATCTCCCCAAATTGCTTCTGGGGATAACATCACTATTGTAAAATGTAAGATCAGTGCTTGAGATATTTTGCAGACATTCCACTCAATGGATCAGCTGGCACCACCCAGATCAATAAACTGGCTCATCTGGTCTTGTGATCCCCATCCAGGAACTGACTCAGTGTAAGAGGACAGCTTCTACTCCCTGTGATTTCATCTCTGACCCAACCAATCGGAATTCCTGACTCACTGGCCCCCAATCCACCAAATTGTCCTTAAAAACTCTGATCCCTGAATTCTCAGGGAGATTGATTTGAGTAATAATAAAACTCTGGGCTGGGCACAGTGGCTCATGCCTGTAATCCTAGCACTTTGGGAGGCCAAAGTGGGTGGGTCATGAGGTCAGGAGTTTGAGACCAACCTGGCGGACATGGTGAAACCCTGTATCTACTAAAAATACAAAAATACAAAAATTAGCCAAAAATTAACAGGTGGTGCATGCCTGTAATCCCAGCTACTCAGGAGGCTGAGGCAGGAGAATAGCTTGTACCCAGGAGGTGGAGGTTGCAGTGAGCTGAGATTGCACCATTGCACTCCAGCCTGGGTGACAGAGCGAGACTCCATCTCAAAAAATAAATAAAAATAAAACAGTAAAACTCTGGTCTCTCACACACAGCTGGATCAGTGTGAATTAATCTTTCTCTATTGCAATTCCTCTGTATTGATAAATTGGCTCTGTCTAGGCAGCAGGCAAGGTGAACCCATTGGGCAGTTACAGTTATTTCCCTGTCAACCATTTGATAGCCTGTGATTTTCAGGTGTTTGTTTAAGTAAGAACCTTAAAATTAAATATATGGTTATTGTATTAGTTTGTTCTCACACTGTTATAAAGCTACTACCTGAGAGGTAATTTATAAACAAAAGGGGTTTAATTGACTCACAGTTCCACATGGCTGGAGAGGCCTCAGGAAACTTACAATCATGGTGGAAGGTGAAGGGGAAGCAAGGCATGTCTTACATGGTAGGAGGCAAGAGAGAGAGACAGCACAGGGGAAACTGCCACTTTTAAACCATCAGATCTCATGAGCACTTCTGCACTATCATGAATACAGCATGGGGGAAACCACGCCCATAATCCAATCATCTCCCACCAGGTCCCTCCCTTGACATATGAGGATTACAATCTGAGATGAATTTAGGTGGGGACACAAAGCCAAATCATATCAGTTACTTACAAAATAATTCAAGATTTAGTTATTTTCATTAAACCAGTATTAATGTCTTTATTTATCAAAAATTACACAAGCAAAAATCATTCCGTTTGGGGTTGGGGTTATAATTTTATAATCCTTATGCCAAATGTTGACACCTTATAGTATTTGGCAGGGATAAGTATGAAATTGCTTGATGAATAAATGCAAACAAAATGTATGCTGGCAATTCTTAAGACATTTCTAATATTACTTTACCAGTAATTTTATAGCTAGCTTATAAAAGATTTTACTTAAGTCATGTGAACTTGAGAAGCATTTGGGTTTATTATTTAATTTTATTTAATTTATGAGTGCTCTTTAAGTCAATTTACTACCTTGTGGCCAAAACACTTGTACATAAACATAAACACATACATACACACTCACACCCTCATAGAACCAAAGATCATATAGCTTTTACTTCATAACTCTAGCCATGATATATTAATACAAACTCATTGGTTTGCAAAAAAAGAAATGGCTGGATGCAAACTGTGGATTTTATCATAGAAAAGTAACAGCAGCTTTAAAGCAGGCAGAAAAGAAAATAGGAAAAAAGATAACTTAGGAACTCTATAGTTTGCAGGTCAACCTTAGGGCTCTTTTTCCTTGATGTAGATGTGCACAAAGACCATGATATTTCCATTTTACACAAACTGTAGCAAGTAGAGATGCTATAAAACCAATGGAGTGCCCAAAAGGCGGGTCATTCTCCTTGTTTGCTCCTCATTCTTATTTGTTTCCCACTTTTCTATTTTTGTTTTGCTTTTTGTTTTTTCTTAAAAGGAGGAACTGAGCTGTGGTCTAGGGTTCTTGTAGAGTGGGTCAGAGTGTGTGCTGGTTGCAGGCAGGACTTCACCGTGTGTTACTACTGAGTTGTTACTGCCCTCTTACTTGTCACTGTTTCTCTCTCTGGAGGTCTAAGCACCTCCAGGAGGGCTCAAAGTGCTGAGTGACCATGCCCATATGAACTTCCTAGATAAGGCTTTTAAAAACTAATTTTTTTCAGAGTTCCTGTAGGACCACTACACATCGCAGGGTGTCAACTCCCCAGACGTTCCCATGAGTCCCTCAGGTCATCCAGGGGTGCATTTCAGCTGGGAGGGGCGGAATACCCTTTTTCTTCAGAGCTGAGGAAACTCAGTCTCTTATTTACCTATGAAAACAACAGTTCAGTTCCTTAGCAAATGCACACAGACAAGCCAAATCGAGATTAATTTTGGGAGAAAAAGCAATGGAGAAGCCCCTTAAGAACGCATCCCTGAACTAGAAGTTGGATCCCTAAACAATGACTTCCTAGGAGAGGAAAAGAAAACAAAAAACAGCCAAGACCATTTCCTGTAAATTGTCCTCAGCCTCCCCTAACTTCATACCTTTCATTCTGCATTACACACACCAAGGCTAAATCCTATCGCAGTACAAGATAATCTCTGGTACCCTCAAAACTAAAGAGGTCAGGTAATGCAATACGGGAAAGCAGAGTTTTAGACCTAAGAAGAATCTGCCCATGACTCTTAAAACTCCACAAAGAAAACAGAATACCCCAAAAGGGGTGAGTGATATCTTTGTTCTGAGTTATGTAAAGGGTTTGAGTCGTTAGAAGCCTTCTCTCTAAATTTTTCTCAGTACTGAAGGTGGCAAAGGGGAAGAAGGTACAGGGTGGAAGAAAAGTAAAAGAAAGAAAAATTTTCTTAGACCTGAAACAAACACAGATACCAAGCACATGTTTTTTTGTTTGTTTGGTTGGTTTTGTTTTCTTTTTCCTTGTTTGCAGCTGCAAGGAATTTTAGTGAATTCAGAGAGGCCTTCCTTGTTACCCGTAATTTGGAATTATCATTCAGATTTGACCAAGTCAGGTAGAGTTGGTCAAATTTGACAGGAGTAAGACAGGAACAAACAACAAAATGAATCTCCCCAATATGATTATGAGCACTTGGGTGGTAAGGAGAAATTAAGACCAGCTGGTTGTTAAACTTAACTTTAGCCAGGAAAACCCCAATTCAGCTACTTCCCTAGGGATGGCTCTCAGGCTGAAGACTACTCTCTACCATCCTAGAAGCATGAAGAAACTCAAACTCACCTTCCCTGTTGGAAGTGAGCTCAATCTCCAGAAAGGAGTTACCTGCCTTCCATCATCATGGAAACAGGAAAACTTGCCTTCTTTGTTGGAAGCAAGTACAATTCCAAAAGAAAGGAGTTGTAAAGCAAAATAAAGTTAGACCTCAACCAAATTTGGGGAGATCAGGGATTCTCTGGAGGGGATGCTCCCAGACCTCAGCAAATTGTCCTGTTGTTTGGAGTCATAAAAATAGCTCAAGCTGGTACCAAGCACCCATAGGGAACTTGTCAAAGGTAAGGAGCACTTCCACTCAGAATCCCTTCATGGTTACCAAATGTAAACCCCAAATATCTGAGACAGGTCTCAGTCAATTTAGGAAGTTTATTTTGCCAAAGTTAAAGACACTTGCCCATGACATAGCCTCAGGAGGTCCTGAAATGTGCCCAACATGATCAAGGCACAGCTTGGTTTTATACATTATAGGAAGACATGAGACATCAATCAATATATGTAAGATGTACATTGGCTCCATCTGGAAAAGTGGGACAACTTGAAGTGGGAAAGAGAGAAGGGGGCTTCCAGATCATAGGTAGGTAAGAGACAAATGGTTGCATTCTTTTCAGTTTCTGAGTAGCCTTTCCAAAGAAGGCCATCAGATATGCATTTATCTCAGTGAGCAGAGGGATGACTTTGAATTTTGTCTGTTCTTTGTCCACAAGGAAATTCCTTGTGAAGGAAGTATGTAGCTTTTTAATCTTAGTAGCTATATTTTTTAGAAATAGAATAGGAGACAGGTTTACCCTAAGCAGGTCCCAGGTTGATTTTTGCTTTGGTTTAGTGATTTGGGGCGTCCCAAGATTTATTTTCCTTTCACGCTGCTATGAATTTCTCTCTTAGTACTGCTGTTGCTGTACAATGCTTAATTATTATACAGAGATTTACTCTGTATGAATGATAAAGCAAAATGTTTCAGCATATTTTAACATTGATGATTTTTAAAATGTTATCTTATTCATAAATAGCTGCCTTAATTTAGAAAATAAAGATGCAAAATTAAAATTTTGGATACAAACAAGATTTTAAAATATATTTTACTACTACATTGAAAAGAGAACAGAGAAGAAAGAGCTAGCCTCCTTCCACATGTGGGTAAAAGGACCAAGCTTTGGCTTTCTTATTATACTGATAATACAAATCCAGGAAGTAAAACAGAGGCCAAGAGGACATGCTATGCATGAACATTGACCTTTAATGTGACTTTACTATATACTAGCAAATGTAGCTCCATAAAAGTCAGATTCTGACTGATCAGATGAGTAACTCCTCATCCCAATGGCCACTGTGAGCCCAGAGGTATTAAAGTGTTTCTTCTCAAGACTCACAATGCCCCTGTCTCCATCTTGGATAGAATTTAATTTTTTTCTATGTTCTGGGCTAAAAACATGAAGAGAGGGAGAAGGCATATAATGTTTGCATTCTGCAAAATGGTTTTATCTTTGGATAAGATTATTGCTATGATTTAGGGAATGAGGAGGTTAAAAATAGTGTGAAATTCTGGCTACTTATTTTTTAAAGCTTATTGCCCTATACTTTTACATTTTAAATCAGATTATAATGCACGACATTAAAGGTAAACATACTTGTGCTCTGTTTAATATCTCTGATATAGTTTTGTGTGTCTCCTCTAAATCTCACGTTGAAATGTGATTTAGTTGGAGGTGGAGCCTGGTGGGAGGTATTTGGCAGGCAGATTCATCATAAATCGCTTGGTGCCCTCCTTGAGGTAATGAGTGAGTTCTCACTCTGAGTTCACTTGATATCTGGTTGTTTAAAAAGAGTGTGTCACCTCCCCCTCTCTCTTGCTCGCTCTCTCAGTGTGTGACATGCCTCCTCCCTCTTCACCTTCTGCCATGATTGTAAGCTTTCTGAGTCCCTTGCAAGAAGCAGATGCTGGTGCCATGCTTTGTGTACAGCCTGTAGAACTTTAAGCCAAATAAATATTTTTTCTGTGTATGTTGCCCAGTTTCATGTATTACTGTATAGCAACACAAAATGGATTAACATGCTCTCCTAGATTTAGATGTTTTCTCTGCTGAATATTTTCTGCTAGTAAATTGCTTTTAAAACTACAATCAATTTGCTATTTCTTCCAATCTAATGTACCTGTACTTTAATAAAATTTCTAGAAAATTAAGTTTCAAGACTAGAAATGTGAAATGGATTAATAATTATGATATCACTAAATAAAATCTCAATGGAAGAAAGAACAATTTAAACCTAAACAAATATTTTTCTATTTGTACAACCCAAAGTTATCTAAAACCAACTGGCAATATCTTAGCTGTTTAAAACTGTATTTTAAGACCTCAAATTTCCCATTTTCACCATCTGCTTCTATCAACTGGAATAGACTTGATATGGGATTTAAGTTATTTGTGCTATTTTCATGTACTTAAAAAATTTATGCCTGCTGCAAATATTTAATATAAATATTAAATATAAAACAAAGCAAAAAACCCAGGCTGAAAAGATAGTGTAAGCTTTTTCATCTGAATGCTCATTTTGGTAAAAGAAGATAGCAGCTAAATGAGAAACTTTGCTACTATAAAATTAGATAACAATTAGGTTAAATTAAAGCTCCAAAAGAGTTGAACTATTTTTACGCTTTCAGCAAAGTAGAAACCAATAACATCTTGCTCTTTCCTGTGACTTCGTATCCTAACCCTCATGCTGAAAGTTGCATAGCATAGCATATTAATTCCCAATGCTATAATATTAATAGAAATTATTAGTATAAACTATGATCTATTGGTTTATCTTTTGACAAGTCAATATTTTAGAATATTACAGAATTTTAGAATCTACAGAATTGTAGAATTTTAGAAAATATTACAATTAAAGAAATAATAATTAAAAATACTTATAGTTAATTAGTAAAACACAAGGGCATTAATTTATATTAAAGTACTTAGATTGAAGAGTGCTGTACAAATATTATTAATAATAATTTTTGTGTTTTTAATCTTTACTTTTCCTAATACCTTTGTTCCTGCTTAGTAGGGATATTTTTATGCCTTTTATATGATCCCTAGAACACTTCTTTCTTTTAGTCAATCCTACCATGCAGGGAATAAGAAAGGGATACAGAACTAGCAAGCACTGTGCTAGGCACTTTGTATAATGATTTCACTTAATCCTGGAATATGACAAAATCTTCCTAATAGGCCAAGGGTTTTTTGTTTGTTTGACTCTTCTGGCCATAGATGACATAGGTCATGGTTAGCGCTTTTTTTGTGTCTGCTTTTGTCTCCCTGTTATTATTTCTGCTAGTTTCCTTACTGCTACTTCAGCCATCTTAAATTCTTTAAACAAAACAATAAACATCATCATATAATAATTAAATTGGAAGGGATCTTTAAAGACCCCAAGCCCAATCCTTCATTGTAAAGATAAAGAAACTAAGGGCTACTAGGAAGAGCGTGACAAGGAATAAGTGCCACAAGCAACAGTCAACTTTCTCCTGTTCATTCATAAACTTCTTTTCTTTTCTTTCTTTTTTTTTTTTTTGACAGAATCTCACTCCGTCACCCAGGCTCGAGTGCAGAGGCACAACCTTGGCTCACTGCAACCTCCTCCTCCCAGGTTCAAGCAATTCTCCTGCCTCAGCCTCCCTTGTGCTGGAATTACAGGCACATGCCATCACGCCTGGCTAATTTTTGTATTTTTAGTAGACACGGTGTTTCACTATGTTGGCCAGGCTGATCTCAAACTCCTGACCTCAAGTGATCCCCCAGCCTCGGCCTCCCAAAGTGCTGAAATACAGGCGTGAGCCACCACCACCAGCCCATAAACTACTTTTTATGCATAGCATCTGCAAATGTTAGGATAGCTGTATGCCCAAGATGCTATGGTAGCATGATAAGCGATACTTAGCCTATGCCTGTGTGTGTGTGTGTACGCATGTGTGCGCTTTCAAGCGTGTGTGCGTGTGTGTGTGTGAGAGAGATAGAGAGAGAGACCTCAACACCCCTGTGAACAACCAGGGAGGGAGATGAATGACAAAAGGTTTCCTACAGCGACTGACACCTTAGGATCAGTAAGGAGCAATCCAGGCAAGGATGAACAAGGAAAAGCATTATACTCAGAGGAAATGGTGTATAAAAAGATATGGATTGTTGAGAGAGTACAGAGGGTGTGTGAAACTGAAATGAGGAATTAAACTGATATAAGAAATTGCCAAAGGAAGAGCATCTCTGAAGGTTTTATCACTTCTATGGAAAATATCATCAATATTACAAAAAGGTAAATAATTTTCAGAACTCTGAAAGTGTTTATTTTGATGATCTTGTACTTTCTTTAATTATCTTATATGATTCACTCGCCACACTCTGCCTATGTATTTTCTTTTTTTGCCAGAAAGCTTCGTGCTTAGTTCTGTTTTCAATTGTGGTAGCCTCTCTCAGACTGGTTTTTCTGATATAGTTATGTTATCTTTTTTTCTTCATTTCCTTCTTAGTTATTTGCTTTTAATTGCTGTTCTCTTGTTTTAAGTTGTCTCTTAGAAAATTATTTGTGTTTAACCTATGCCCTGGAAGAGTCCCTAATATGGAAGAGAGGCAAACACCACGACAAACTGCCTACTTTCCTATTCTGAGCAGGGCTGCCTTTGTATTGAGTTTGTTAATAGGTGTAGAAGATAGTTTTTGATGTTATTAGACATATGATTCAACTGCTTAGCCGTTTAATTAAAATGTTGAAGCTTAGATGTGAATGGCAAAAATGGAGACTGGTGACTTAAGCACAGAACAAACATTTACAATAATCAAAAGAATTTACTTTATTTCTTCCAGTGATTTAAAGTTTAAATAACCTTTTTATATTTCACATAAAGTGTGCAGGCTTAAAGTTTTAAGGAAGGTTTTTTTTTTTTAATTCTTATTTTCTCCCCTATTGATTCTAAAATTGGGAAAAACATACCACTCCTAAATTCCTGAACATTAATTATTTTTTTTAGATCTTTAGTCAGTCAATCTGTTAAACACTTTTTCTTTGCTTTCTTTTTTTAGAAAAAATCTCATTCCACTAAATGCATCTATATATTCCATACTCAATTCTTTTTGAAAGAAGACATAGCATAAATAAACAGAAAAATATTTATTAAGCACTCACCTTGCAGCAGACATTTTAATGGGAGTTGAGATTATAAAAATAAATGTTTATAGCCTGATAAATGAGAAAAATATTTCAAGCAAATTATTATGACATGGTGTGATAAGTGCAAAAGTAGAGGTCTCCTATGAGGGTTTTAAATTGTCTCTTAGAAAATAGAGAAGGAGACACTTGAACTGGCTCTTGATCAATAACAGGGCCTTTGCCAAGTAAATATCTGTGCTGAAGAGTGAGGATTGTGGTAAGAAAGGAATTGCATGTGCAAATGTATCAGACATTTAAAGAAGAGCTATTTGATCAGACTGGCTGGACTCTTAGATAAGGTCCTTTGTGATGGCAGAACCCAGAGTGAATGATTGCCAGAAAGATCTAGGAGCTGGGATCAAGGTCTCTTTAAAGTCTCTTTTTATCCTTTTATTTCCTATAGAACTTTGTAGAAATTAGGACTACTAAGACCTACAAATAACACAACCTTTATTACAAAATAAATGGGGTCCACAAGAAAACTTTTGCTTTCCTCCAGAGTTAAAATCCATATCTAGATGCCTGAGACATTTATCACTGTGGTGTACAGGCAACGCGGAAAGTTAGTGAGAATTGGGATGGGCTTCAATATGTAGGCTGAGACAACTGTAGTTCTTATTCTTTGATCTTTGTCTCTGGTCTTTGATGTAATAACAATTATCAAATAGCAGTTTGATGATGAATACTGCACGGTAATTTGGGATGTCTTATAATTTTTAAGATAGGGAACAGTCTGTACAGCAGTGCAGTGAAGTGATTTGCAGAGATGTGCCCTGATTAGTTTAGGGTATTGTTATTTAGCACTATTATTTTCTGTTTACTATTACCTGTAATCAAGACAATTAAATTATATACGTTTGAATGCCACAATTGCCCATATGCCATGGCTATGTTAGTTGGCAGCCAGAGAATTGAAGCATGGCCTATGTGTCCATACTCATTATTTTCATGACTGATTGTAGAGCATGCAGTTAGACTGACTGTGTCACCAGTCACTCCAATCTGTTATACCATAGTTGTTTTGTAAATTTGGATTTAACCCATTATGGAACAGAAATATGGCCAAGGTAAAGCTGTGTCCAAAAATGTAATCTTTATAGGTTGTCCATTTAGGCTATTACTTCTTACTTCTGTCCTTGTTATCCTATTACTTGTGCTATAAATATAAGGGCTCACGATTGCCACTGAATCCATACCATATGACCTTGGCTGCACATGAAAACAGATATAATTCTGTACAAGGAATAAATATTTTTTAAGGTTTCATGTAAAAATCTCAAGTCCAATTTTTTCATTGCCTCTATTAACAAACAGATGTATCCACAGAAAATATGTTAGCTTCCAAGGAATGATAAAAATCACTCTTAGGGAAGCAGCAAATCTTTTAAAGTAACCATGTAAAGGAAAATATCATTATTAATATATCCCTGAGAAAATAAATTTTCCATATTACCATTAGAGTATTCCTTTGCATTCATAATTTTTCAGACTGCCCATAAACTATAGAATAAAATCTAAACCTTGGCCAGGCACAGTGGCTTACACCTGTAATCCCAGCACTTTGGAAGGCTGAGGCGGGTGAATACCTGAGGTCAGGAGTTCGAGACCAGCCTGACCAATATGGTGAAACCCTGCCTCTACTAAAAATACAAAAATTAGCTGGGCATGGTGGCATGCACCTATAGGCCCAGCTACTCAGGAGGCTGAGACAGGAGAATTGCTTGAACCGGGCAGCAGAGGTTGCAGTGAGCTGAGATCATGCTACTGCACTCCGGCCTGGGTGACACACCAAGACTTCATCTCAAAAAAAAAAAAAAAATCTAAACCTTTAGTATGATATCCTTTGTATCAGCCTACCAACTTCCTCTCCACTATTCTTCCCCATTAAATCTCTGCTCAGGTCTTATGTTTTTCTTGTTGTTCCCTGAAGATACCATGTGCTCTTGCCTTAGTACGTTTGCATTCAAACTTTCCTCCCTCCATTCTTAGCAAGCTTCTATTTACCTTTCCCCTCTTACTACTATTTTTGTTTGTAGTTACTGAGTGCTCACTATACTCAATCCCTTACATATATTACATTATTTAATTCTCACAGTAGCCCTATGACATAGGTATCCTGATTCATAGAGGTTAAGTAACTTACTCAAGATCATATAGATAGTAAAGTGACAGAGGTCAGATTTAAATCCAGAGTTTTCCAAGTCAAGGACAAGAACTTTTAATTTTTGTATATGCTGAGAAATGTGTATCCAGATGTATTCTTCTACATATGGCTATTGTATTAATCTGTTTTCACACTGCTATTAAGATACTATAATTTATAATTTATATAATTATATAATTAAATATAATTATAGAAATTATATATAATATATAATATATATAAATGCTGTTATATAATAATATATAAATATACATTTTATATATAAATATATATTTATGTGTATCCACAAAAAACATGTTAGCTTTATATAAATTTAATATAATTTATATATATTATATATATTTTATATATTATATATATAAATTATATGAAGATACTATAATTTATAAATTATAAACTTATAATTTATAAACAATTTATAGATAAAATAGGTAATTTATAAACAAAAGAGGCTTAATTGATTCACAGTTCTGCATGGCTGGGGAGGCCTCAGGAAACTTAAAATCATGGCAGAAAGTAGAGGGGAAGCAAACGCTTTCTTCGCAAGGCAACAGGAGAGACAGAGTGCGCAGGGGAAACTGCCGCTTTTAAAACCATCAGATCTCGTGAAAACTCCCTCACTATCACGAGTACAGCATGGGGGAAACCACCCCCATGGTCCAGTCACCTCCCACCAGGTCCCTCCCTTGATACAGTGGGGATTACGATTCAAGATGAGATTTGTGTGGGGACTGAGGAGAGTGAAAATCACCTGGTGACCACTGAAGAGGTCCTGGAGACAAAAACTTCTTATCTGAGGAATTTAGAAAGGAACAAAGACCACCTGTTTGCATCTAGTTCCAGGCCTCTTTCAACTTTTATGAGTAACTAAAATTTCTATACATCTCTGGAATGCCATGCCAAAACTCATTTTACAATCCTAAATTCCCTCCTTAAAGTCATAAATACCCCTAAGGAAAATCCACCACAGTGTGTTTAGTCCTCTTGCTGAGGCACCCCGCTGCACCCTTTTGGAGCGTTCTTTCTTTGTAATGAACTTTGCTTTTTCAAACCTATACTGTTGTTGGTAAATTCTTTTTACCAACCTGTGAGTCGACCACTTCCCAGTGCCAGGGCTCTGACACATCATCCAGCATCTTGGTGACCCATTATGTGGACTTTACTGGGATTTCTCCATTCTTTTTTCCCTGCTTTTTCCTCCCTGCTTCGCTCGATGGTTCTTTACTTTTGGGAATTGACAGTCCCTGGCCGAGGCTACTCTTCGTGGGATTCTGAAGCCCTAGAGAAGGGATACCTGTCTGTCGTTGCCCTTAGGGTTCTTTTCTATTTTCAGACTGCCAGTGAACTAGTTTGAGTACCCTTTGGCAATTGAGGGTTTCTGGCCGAGGGCACTCCCCCACGTTACCTGAAGGCGAAGACAAAAGAGTGAATTTGCTATTGCCTGTTAGGGTAGCAAGTCCACTTTCACTTAACACTCTGTAAACTGTGCCTTGGAAACGGGCAGCAGTGATCTCACCTCTGCGCGGACGCACTCCACTGTTTGCAGACCCACTTTTGGATTCAACTCTGTCATAGGCACTAGATCCCAAGTTACAGATGAGTTCTCCATCACATTAGGTTTGAGCTGACCACTCAAACAAGGGCACGCCTGGTCTGGTCATCCAGGCAAGGGAATGCCCTCTACCCCTGGATAGAGTGAGCCAAAGGGAAAAGGAAGGTCCAAATCCCTCAGGCATGCCTCAGCGATCTTGTAGTCCCTTATCAAAACCCAACATGGGTTCAATTCATTCTTCATTTCATTCCTTCTCACCCTTGGGTTGCATTCTTAAAAACTGGTCCCATTTTAACTCACAAACTCTCAAAAGAAGTGTGTAATTTTCTTTTGTATTCAGAGGTCTCATCTTTTCAGGTCTTTTTAGCTTTATCCCAAAATCCCAAAGTACATAAAAATAGTCACATACGATTTCAAGGAATTTCCTCTCTCTCTGATTCTGATGTCTTAGATGATCCTTCCTTTTGCCTATCACATCCTCAGCCTGCTCCTGCTTCACCTACACCCTCTCTATCTGCTCCATCCCCCAGTCAACCTCCATATCCAGATACATTTATCCTCCTCACATACTTGCAGAGGAGTTACCTATGCCACTAGTACAGAGTCCTCAGAAAACCCCCAAAATATTTTGCCTCTCCACGAGGTGGCAAATGGAGATATGGGAACAATTCGAGTTCGTGTTCCTTTTCCAGTGTCTGATCTTTCACAAATTCAATCCAAGCTGGAGTCATTTAGCCAGAATCCCTCTAAGTTCATTCAAGAATTTTGGGCTTTAATTATTGCCTTTGATTTAACCTGGCAAGACATATTGGTGGTATTAACTATTTGTTGTTCCCATGAAGAAATATCACACATATGGTCTTTAGCTTGAGCTTGGGCACATGCAGCTCATGCTCGCAATCCTAATGATAATAAAGCTGGGACGAAAGCTGTCCCTGACACAGAAACCAATTGGCTGTATCAGGCTGCTGATGTCGGCCCAAACAGAGGCAGGGCCGGATGAGATTATATGATAACTTGCTTGTGGGAAGGAATGAAAAAGCCTGTACTAAGACCTGTTAAATTTTCTAAATTACAAGAAGTCACCCAGGAGCCGTCTGAGAACCTCACCCTTTTCCAAGCTAGATTGGTGGAGGCCATGCGTAAATATGTAAATTTAGACCCTGAAAGCCCTGAAGGCCAATCCATTCTCGCTGTACATTTTGTAAGTCAGGCTTACCCAGACATAAGACAAAAACTCCAAAAATTAGAGCAAGGCCCACAAACTCCCTTTCCTATTTTATTAAATACAGCCTTTGAGGTTTTCAATAACCAGGAGAAAACATCAAAAATAAAAAAGGCTGAATTGGAGGAGGAAGAATGCCATCACTAAGCTAATTACATGGCAACAGCCTTGGCACATTCTTTTTCTTCATCTAATAACCCCAAGGCTCATCCCTACACTACTAACAGAATGGGGGCCTGTCATTGCTGCAGAAATCCAGGACACTGGAGTAGAGAATGTTCCAAACCGCCAGGTTACAAGCCACTTCCAGGACCCTGTCCTCATTGCAAACAAGAGGGTCCTTGGAAGAGCAAGTGTCCTCTCTCTTCTCATGAGGAAGGCCACCTCTTCCTTCCGGGCTGTCACAGCCACAACCTCGCCAACCTCCCAACAAGGGGATCCTGCAGGACAGGAAAGGGCAAGGGAAAGAGAAAGGGCAAGGACAAGCACCTCTAACTTTATTCCTGGATTATGATCAAGCCTCTGAAAGTCGTCCTCTAGATGACTGATGGGGCCTTGAGGCCGTCCAGGCCCCTATCTTTTCCATCTCTGTGAACAAGCCTTGGGTAAATTTGATTGCGGCTGAACAAGAAATAATGTTCCGTATAGATACAGGGGCCAGTTATTCAGCTTTAAACGTTTATTACATCCCAATGTGCCAGTCCTCCATTTTCCTTACAGGTATTGATGGAAAACCTCAATGAGGCTGTTTCACACCACCACTCCCTTGTAAAATGGAAGGCTATTCCTTTACTCACTCCTTTTTAATCTTGCCAAGCTGCCCTGTTCCAATACTGGCTCATGATTTACTCACAGAATTACAAGTTAATTTACAGTTAAGGCCTCAATTTCTAGCCGTTTTAACTCATACTTCACTGAAAGAGCCACTACAGTCTATAGAACCTTGCATTCTAAAACAAGTGCCATTTGAAGTTTGGAATACTTCTATTCCTGGCCATTCAATTATCAGCTGCTCCCATCGTCATTCAGCTTAAAAATCCCAATAAGTTTCCCAGAACCCCCCAACATCCCTTGGAACCAGAAGCATGAAAAGAGTTAAAGCCCCTAATAACAAAACTTTTAAGCCATGAATTATTGCGCCCATGTAACTCGCTTTGCAACACTCCCATTTTAGCTGTAAAGAAACAAGATGGCTCCTACCAACTAGTACAGGACCTTAGAATTATTAATGAAGCTGTTATTCCTATTAATCCTATTGTCCCAAACCCTTACCCCCTTTTTGAACAAATTCCCTCCACCACAGCTTGGCTTACTGTACTTAATCTTAAGGAGGCTTACTGTACTTGATCTTAAGGATTCCTTTTTCTTCATTCCTGTACACCTGGATAGACAATTTTTATTTGCTTTTGAATGGCAAGACCCAGACACTCAAATAACTCAGCAGTTAACTTGGACAGTTTTGCTTCAAGGATTCAGAGATAGCCCCCACCTTTTTGGACAGCCCCTAGCTAAAGACCTGTCCACCCTGCAGCTTCTCCCAGATAGCAATCCACTCCAGTATGTGCTAATCTGTAGTCCTAACAGTTTCAGATCAAAATACAGTATTAGTACTAAACAATCGTTCTGATTGTGAGTACAAAGTATCTCCTTCTAAGGTACAAACATCCACACAAAGACTTCAATTTTGGGGTCTTATCTTAATCCCCCATACAAATAGGATCTCTAGCACTCATAAAGATCTTATCTTCCCAGAACTTTGGGAGGCCAAGGTGGGTGGATCATGAGGTCTGGAGTTTGAGACCAGCCTTGCCAACATAGTGAAACGCCGTCTCTACTAAAAAAAAGAAAAATACAAAAATTAGCTGGGCATGGTGGTATGTGCCTATAATCAGCTAAAGGCTTAGTTAGATTTGGTAGAGCTAAAGCCAGGGCCAAGATTAAGGCCCATTTTAAAGTATTTAGAGCAACCTTCATATCATTAGTCCAGGATAAAGAGGGCTTCAGGGCTTCATACAAAGGTTTCACTATTAATCCAAAGGAAAGAATCCATATTCTACCAGACCCAGCCACACCCTGAAAGAACCAAAGCTGTTGTTTAGTTACTGGAGTTGTCATGTGTAAGATAAGATCTTTTTATTTATTTATTTATTTATTTATTTGTTTTGAGACGGAATCTCACTCTGTTGCCCAGGCTGGAGAGCAGTGGCATGATCTCAGCTCACCACAACCTCTGCCTCCTGGGATCAAGTGATTCTCCTGCCTCAGCTTCCCAAGTAGCTGGGATTATAGGATTGACTTGCCACACCTGGCCTATAGCATATTTTTCAAAAACTTTAGACTTGGTTTTGAAGGGATAGCCCCCTGTGCTTAGCAGCAATGGCCCTCTTAGTCCAAAAAAGCCTCAAACTACATTACCTGCCCCTCCTGGACTCTTGTGTCTTTGTGGCACCACCAGTAATTATTTAAAGCCTTTTTAAGTTTTGGCCCTATCCCACCTTACTAATTCTCTTTATTATGGCGATTGTACCTGAGAACAGTAGCTTTTACCCAAATCACTGTCTTGAACATAACTTCCAATTCAGAATTCCATTCTACAAAAAAAAAGGGCCCTAGGACTTATTCTGGCCAGAGTTGTGGGAACTATCGCAACTCTCGCTCCTTGGGGAGGTTTTACTTACCATGAAATCACACTATGAGAACTTACCGCTTCCTTTGAAACAGACTTAGCAAAAAGTATATAAGCAATAGAAAAGTCTTTAGCCTCACTAGCAGGAATGGTTTTTGATAATAGATGAGCTTTGGATTATCTCCTAGCTGAACGAGGAGGAGTCTGTGCTGCCATCAACAAAACCTGTTACACCTACATTAATGTGTCCAGAGAAGTGGAAACTGATGTCCAAGAAATTTTCAAACAAGCCAAATGGCTACACACACTTTCCCAGAGTAACCAAGACTAGACCAAAACCTTTACTGATTGGTTTCTAAAAATCGCTTGGCTTCTCCCATTCTTTGGATCTTTGTTCCTTATCATTCTTCTAATATTCAGTCCCTGCCTTTTTAATGCTCTCATTAAGTTTATATCTTACAAATTACAAAAATTCCACCTACAGATGGCTATGTAATCTCAATTCCAGCCTGCAACAGCAACTTCCATTTACATGGGGCCTCGTGATAGAATCTGGTCTCTGCCTCCTGCCCCCGCCATGAATGAGTTTTTCATGACCCTTTATTCCCTTCATGACAGAGAGCAAGAAAGAGAAAAACACAACTTATCCCTTCATTGCTCCTTTCAGCAGGAAGTAGCCAGACAGACTTGATGTCCCTCTTATTAGACCCCACTTGATGCCCCTCTTATTGAGACCCCAAAAGGCAGCACATAGACATGAGCATGGGGGAATATAAAGGGTCAAAGATTTGACCAAAATATTTGCCAGGGGGAAAACGAGGAGAGCAGAAATCACCTAGTGACCATTTAACAGACCCCAGAGACAAAAATTCCTTATCTGAGGAATTTAGAAAGGAGCAAGGCCACCTGGTTACATCTGGTTCCAGGACCCTTTCAACTTTTATAAGTACCTAAAACTATATATCTCTGGAATGCCATGCTGAAACTCGTTTTACAACCCTGAGCTCCCACCTTAAGGTCCATAAATACCCCTAAGGAATCACTCAATCTTCTCAGTGAGGCACTCCACTGCATCCTTTTGCAGCATTCTTCCGTTCTAATAAACTTTGCTTTTTCAAACTTATACTGTTGTTGGTAAATTATTTTTACCAACTTGCGAGTCGATCTCTTTCTGGTGCCAGTGCTCTGACACCTCACTGGGCAGGGACACAGAGCCAAACCATATCAGCTATCCAATTTTCCCAGCACCATTTGTTGAATAAGGTGTCCTTTCCAATGTATATTTTTCTTGACTTTGTCAAAGATTTGTTGGTTGTAGGTATGTGGCTTTGTTCCTTGGTTCTGTATTCTGTTCCACTGATCTATTTTTATACCAGTATGTGATGTCTCCAGCTTTATTCTTTTTGCTTAGAATTGCTTTGGCTATTTGGGCTCCTTTTTGGTTCCATATAAATTTAGAATTATTTTTCCTAATTCTGTGAAAAATCACATTGGTAATTTGATAGGAATTGCATTGAATAAATCTACATTAAATAAATGTAGATTGCTTTAAATAGTATGGTAATTTTAACAATATTAATTCTGCTAATTCATGAGCATGAGATGTTTTCCCACTTGTTTGTGTCATCTGTGATTTCTTTCATCAATGTTTTGTAGTTCTCCTTGTAGAGATCTTTTACTTCCTTGGTTAAATTTATTTTTAGGCATTTGAATTTTTTGTGGCTACTGTACATGGGATTAAGTTCTTGATATGGTTCTCAGCTTGATTGTTTTTGGTATACAGAAATGCTACTGATATTTGTACATTGATTTTGTATCCTAAAACTTTACTGAAGTAATTTATCAAGTCTAGGACTCTTTTGGAGGAGTGTTTAGGGTTTTCTAGGTATAAGATCATATCATCAGTGAACAGAGATCATTTGACTTCCTCTTTTCTAATTTGGATACTTTTTATTTATTTCTTTTGCCAGATTACTTTAGCCAGGGCTTCTAGTTCTCTGATGAATAAGAGTGGTGAAAGTGGGCATTTTTGTCTTGTTCCAGTTCTTGGGGGAAATGCTTTCAACTTTTCCCCATTCAGTATGATATTTGCTGTGGTTTTATCATATATGGCTTTTATTCTTTGATGTATGTTCCTTCTATGCCTAGTTTCTTGAGGGTTTTTATTGTGAAAGGATGCTGAATTTTGCCAAATGGCTTTTCAGCACCTATTGAGATGATCATATGATTTTTGTTTTTAATTCTGTTTATGTGGTGAATCACATTTATGAGTTTGCATATGTTGAACCATCCTTGCATCTTTTGAATAAAACCCACTTGATCATAGTGTATTATCTTTTTGATGTGCTTTTGGATTTAGTTTGCTAGTATTTTGCTGAGGATTTTCACATCTATGTTCATCAGGGATATTGACTCATAGTTTTCCTTTTCCGTTGTGTCCTTGTCTGGCTTTGGTATCAGGATGATACTGGCTTTGTAGAATGAGTTAGGGAAAATTCCCTCCTCCTCGATTTTTGGAAACAGTTTTGGTAGGATTGGTACCAGTTCGTCTTTGTAATTCTGGTAGAATTTGATTATGAATCCCTGTGGTCCTGGGCTTTTCTTTGTAGGGAGATTTTTTTATTTCTCATTCAATCTCACTACTAGTTATTGGTCTGTTCAGGATTTCTATTTCTTCTTGGTTCAGTATTAAGAGATTTTTTTCCAGGAATTTATCCATATTCTCTAGGTTTTCTAGTTTGTGCATGCTCATAGTATGCCCACTGTATTCTTTGATGATCTTTTTTATTTCTGTGGTATCAGTAGTAACTTCTTTTTCATTTCTGTTTGTGTTTATTTGAGTCTGCTGTTTTTTGTTGGTCTTTCTAGCTAGTGGTCTATCAATTTTGTTTATCTTTTCAAAAAATCAACTCCTTGTTTTATGGATGCTTTATATTGTTTTTGGTCTCAATTTCACTTAGTCCTGTTATGTTATTTATTTTCTTCTGCTACCTTTGGTTTTTCTTGTTTTGCTGTTTTCTTGAGGTGCAATGTTAGATTGTTAATTTGTGATCTTTCTTTTTGACGTAGGCCTTTAATGCCATGAACTTCCCTCTGAGTATCACTTCTGCTGTATCCCAGAGGTTTTGGTATGTTTTGTCTCTATTTTCATTTGTTTCAAAAATTTTTTTACTTTCCACTTTTTTTTTTTTTTCCTTGAGATGGAGTCTCACTGTATTGCCCAGGCTAGAGTGCAGTGGCGTGATCTTGGCTCACTGCAACCACTGCCACCCAAGTTCAAGAGATTCTCCTGCCTCGGCCTCCCAAGTAGCTGGGATTACAGGTGCCTGCCATTGTGCCTGGCTAATTTTTGTATTTTTAGTAGAGACGGGGTTTCCATCTTGGCCAGGCTGGTTTTGAACTCCTGACCTCGTGATCCACCCACCTTGGCCTTCCAAAATGTTGGGATTACAGGTGTGAGCCACTGTGCCTGGCCTACTTTCCACTTTAATTTTGTTATCAACCTAAATATCATTCAGAATCAGGTTGTTTGATTTCCATGTATTTGTATAGTTTTGAGAGTTCCTCTGGGTATTATTCTAGTGTTATTACACTGTTGTCCCAGAAGATACTTGATATAATTTTGATTCTTTAAAATGTATTGAGTTATTTTGTGGCCTAACATATGTTCTATTTTGGAGAATGGCCCATGCATTGATGAAAAGAATATATATTCTGCAATTGTTGGGCACAATGTTCTATAAATGTCTGTTAGATTCATTTGGTCTAGAGTCTGATTGAAGTCCAGAGTTTCTTTTTTGACTTTCTGCCTCAGTGGTATGTCTAATGCTGTCAGTGTGTAGTCCCCCACTATTATTGTGTTGCTGTCTATCTATTTCCTTAGGTCTAGTAGTATTTACTTTATGAATTTGGGTGCTGTGGTGTTGGGTGCATATATATTTAGGATTGCTAGATCTTTTTGTTAAATTGATCTCTTTATCATTATATAAAGACCTTTTTTTTGGATGAGTTCATGTCCTTTGTAGGGACATGGATGAAGTGGATGAAGCTGGAAACGATCATTCTGAGCAAATTGTCGCAAGGACAGAAAACCAAACACCGCGTGTTCTCGCTCATAGGTGGGAATTGAACAATGAGAACACTTGGACACAGAGTGGGGAACATCACACATCGGGCCTGTTGTGGGGTGGGGGGAGGTGGGAAGGATAGCATTGGGAGATATACCTAATGTAAATGATGGGTTAATGGGTGCAGCAAACCAACAAGGCACATATATACATATGTGACAAACCTGCACATTGTGCACACGTACCCTAGAACTTAAAGTATAATTAAAAAAATATATATATAAAGACTTTTTTTTTTAACTATTGTTGATTTAAAGTTTGTAAATTAACTGAAGATGGATTAGAGACTTAAATGTAATACCTAAAACTATAAAAATCCTAGAAGAAAACCTAGGGAAAATCTTCTAGGCATTGTCATAGGCAAATAACTTATGACTAACACATCAAAAGCAAATGCAACAACAACAATGAAATATACAAATGAGACAATTAAACTAAAAAGTTTCTGTACCACAAAAGAAGTAATCAACAGGTAAAAGACAATCTACAGAATGGGAGAAAAGATTTGCAAGCTGTGTATCCAAGAAAGGATTAATATCCAGAATCTACAAGGATCTCAAACAAGTAAAAAGCAAACAAACCCATTTAAAAATGGGCAAAGGACATGAACAGGCAAGTTTCAAAAGAGGATATACACATGGCCAACAAACATGAAAAAATTGCTTAACATCATTAATTATTAGAGAAATGCAAATTAAAACCACAATGATAAAATATCTTATACCAGACAGAGTTGCTATTATTATTATTATTGAGACAGGGTCTTGCTCTATCTCCAAGGCTGGAGTGCAGCAACATGATCATGGCTCACTGCAGCCTCAACATCCCAGGCCCAAGCAATTCCCCCTCCTTACCCTCCCAAGTAGCTGGGACCATACATGCATGCCACAAAGCCTGGCTAATTTTTAAATTGTGTACAGACAACATCTCCCTATGTTGCCCAGGTGGGTCTTGAACTCCTGGGCCCAAGCAATCCTCCTGCCTCAGCCTCCCAAAGTTCTGGGATTATAGGCATTAGCCACCATTCCTGGCTAGAGTAGCTATTATTCAAAAGTCAGAAAAACAAAAGATGTTGGTGAGAATGCAGAGAAAAGGGAACTCTTAAACACTTTGGTGGGAATGTAAATTAATACAACCTCTGTAGAAAGCAGTATGAAGGTTTCTCAAATAACTAAAAATAGAACTGACATTCGAGCTAGCAATCTCACTACTGGGTATCTACCCAAATGAAAAGAAATAGTTGTATAAAAAAGATACCTGTACTTTTATGTTTATTGCAGCACTATTCACAATAACAAACATATAGAATAAACTTGTGTCCAACAATCAATGACTGGATAAAGAAAACGTGATATGCATACACACACACACGATGGAATACTACTCAGCCATAAAAAGAATGAAATCATGTCTTTTGCAGCAACATGGATAAAACTTCCATCTGCTATTCTACTACTCCTCAGGGATTGTTCAGGCCCCCTCCCTTCCTTACACATCAAGCTCAGGGATTTGCCCCCGCCCAGGACTGGCAAATTGACTTTACTCACATGCCTCAAGTCAGGAAACTAAAATACCTCTTGGTCTGGGTAGACACTTTCACTGGATGGGTAGAGGCCTTTCCCACAGGGTCTGAGAAGGCCACCGCGGTCATTTCTTCCCTTCTGTCAGACATAGTTCCTCGGTTTGGCCTTCCCACCTCAGTTTCTCAGGCTTTTGGTATTTAGTGGCTCCTGGTTTTACCTCAAATCGCCACCGTTAAGTCTCTCTTGAAGTGGATAGAAGATCTTCTGCGGCAAGGTACCCTCCAATACTTTCACCCTGATGAAGTCCCATTATTTACTTTTATACTCACTCTTATTCTCATTCCCGTTCTTATGCCACCCTCTACCTCTCCCCAGCTATCTCCACCACACTATCAAACTCACTCTCTCCTAGCCATTTCTAATCCTTCTTTAACAAACAATTGCTGGCTTTGCATTTGTCTTTCCTCCAAAATCGTGAAGTCCTCGACTTATTCACTGTTAAAAAAGAGAGGACTCTGTACATTTTTAAATGAAGAGTGTTGTTTTTACCTAAATCAATCTGGCCTGGTATATGACAACATAAAAAAAGTCAAGGTTAGAGCCCAAAAACTCGCCAACCAAGCAAACAATAACGTTGAATCCCCTCGGACAATCTCTAATTGGACATCCTGGGTACTCCCAATTCTTAGTCCTTTAATACCTATTTTTCTCCTTCTTTTATTCGGACCTTGTGTCTTTCGTTTAGTTTCTCAATTCATACAAAACAGCATCCAGGCCATCACCAATAATTCCATATGACAAATGCTCCTTCTAACAATCCCACAAAATCACCCCTTACCACAAAATCTTCCTTCAGCTTAATCTCTCCCACTCTAGGTTCCCACGTCAACCCTAATCCCGCTCAAAGCAGCCCTGAGAAACATCGCCCATTATCTCTCCATACCACCCCCAAAAATTTTCGCCGCCCCAACACTTTACCACTAGTTTGTTTTATTTTTCTTATTAATATAAGAAGACAGGAATGTCAGGCCTCTGAGCCCAAGCTAAGCCATCATATCCCTTGTGACCTGCACGTATACATCCAGATGGCCTGAAGCAACTGAAGATCCACAAAACAAGTGAAAATAGCCTTAACTGATGACATTCCACCACTGTGATTTGTTTCTGCCCTGCCCTATCTGATCAATGTACTTTGTAATCTCCCCCACCCTTAAGAAGGTTCTTTGTAATCTTCCCCATCCTTAAGAAGGTTCTTTGTAGTTCTCCCCACCCTTGAGAATGTACTTTGTGAGATCCACCCCCTGCCCGCAAAACATTGCTCCTAACTCCACCACCTATCCCAAAACCTTTAAGAACTAATGATAATCCACCACCCTTTGCTGACTCTCTTTTCGGACTCAGCCCGCCTGCACCCAGGTGAAATAAACAGCCTTGTTGCTCAAAAAAACAAACCAAAACAAAACAAAACAAAACTTGAGGCCATTATAGTAACTGAAATAACTCAGAAACAGAAAGTCAAATACCTCATGTTCTTATAAGTGGGAACTAATCGATGTGTACACATGGACATAGAGACTTTGAAGAATCCAAAAGGTGAGAGGTGGGAGGGGAGTGAAGGACGAGAAATTATCGGTTTAGTAAAATGTACACTATGTAGGTGATGGTTACACTATAAACCCAGACTTCAGCCCTATGTAATATATTCATATCCAAAACTGTATTTGTATCCCCTAAATCTATAAAAATATTTTAAATGGCAAGAAAATGTTTGGAAAAAAGGACAGAAGCTCTTGTCTAGTAACGTAGGGACACTTTTAAGCCAGCATTTCCTCCCTGTGAAACTCTCTCTGAGTCTCACATGTGGACTTAATTCTTCCATCTCACATTGTTGATATATTAATAGCTACCTGTATAACAGCACTTATATATTATGTGTGTTTGGACTTTGGTAACTTCATTCTCTTAAGGTTCTTATTTCTTTTATTTTTCCATTCCTTATGTGTAGTATAGTGGCTAAACTATACTAAATTGGAGCCTTGATAAAGACATCCCAACTGAAAACAATACTAATAATTATCAAAATAGCTTGCAAAATAGAGAATTATGTCAATTTTCCCAACCACCCTATGAGGTATGTAGGTTGTTTGATATAACTCCAGTTAATGGATGAGGAAACAAATTTTAAACTATTTGCAAGTTTGCATTTAAAGGTGGGAATGTATGGTAGAGATTAACAACTCAAAATCTGGATTTAGACAGCCTGGGATAGAATCTGGCTCTCCCATTTTTATCTTCAATGACTTAGCCTCTCTAAGCCTTAGTTTCTTCATTCAGAAAATGGGAGACAATAATAGTACCTAGTTCACAAACAGGGTCATAAGATAACAAATCAGGCTTCACAAGTGCCTGGTAACTTCTATTTTGCAATTATACACATGGTATATGGTGGAAACTGTGCTAGGCCTTTGGGAAACAGATCAATAAAACATACCTGTTCTCAAGAAACTTGCAGTTTACTGTGAAGTATAACTGCTATGTGGATTAAATAGAATACTGAATTGTGTATATGTTATTATGAGCACACAGCAAAGGGAGGGCCTATTTCTGCCTTCAAAAATCAGGGGAGTGCCCAAAAGGCAGAGAGAGTACGTGTAAATTCTCTGATCTTTCTGTTCAATTTTTTTAATAAATCAAAAACTGTTATAATTAATGAAATCTATTAGTTCAAACTAAAACTATTATAAGATAAGAAGTGAAATGTATTAATTCAAACAAAAAAGATTGAGGAGATTTAACAGAGGGGTTTATGTTAAAGATTGAGCCTTGAAGGATGATATAGGAGAAGACTTCTGGGAAATGATAGGAATGAAGGCTGGAAAGATAGGTTGGGTCCAGGTATATGTTTGGTGTTCCCCAATATGTCATTTTTAAAAAATTGTAATTTCATTTTGACAGTTTGCAAGTTTGCATTTAAAGGTGGGAATGTATGGTAGAGATTAACAACTCAGAATCTGGATTTAGGCAGCCTGGGGTTAGAATTTGGCTCTCTTATATTTTATCTTAGGTGACTTAGCCTCTCTAAGCCTTAGTTTCTTCATTCAGAAAATGGGAGACAATAGTAGTACCTAGTTCATGAACAGGGTCATAAGATAACAAATCAATCTTTATGGAAATATTACTAATAAAAATCATTTATTTTATATTTTTATTGCCTGAAATATTATTAATATTTCCATTTAAAAACTAAATTGTATTATGAATTATCTATTAGAAGTAAAAAAAAAATGACCAGGCGTGGTGGCCCATGCCTGTAATCCCAGCAATCTGGGAGGCCGAGGCGGGCGGATCACCTAAGGTCAGGAGCTCAAGACCAGCCTGGCCAACATGGCAAAACCCTGTCTCTACTAAAAGTACAAAAATTAGCTGGGCATGGTGATGGGTGCCTGTAATCCTAGCTTCTCAGGAGGATGAGGCAGGAGAATTACTTGAACCCAGGAGGCAGAGGTTGCAGTGAGCCGAGATTGTGCCACTGCACTCCAGCATGGGCGACAAGACGGAGACTCCATCTCTAGTATGCAGAGAAAAACAACTTAAATATGGTACCATTTCACTTATCAAATTGGACAAAAAATCTTGTAATTTTTAACAAGAATTATATATATATAAAATATAAAAAATATAATTTTTATATATACTTATATATGTATATTTGTATATACTTATACATATACTTATATATGTATATTTGTATATACTTATACATATACTTATATATGTATATTTGTATATACTTATATATGTATATTTGTATATACTTATACATATACTTATATATGTATATTTGTATATACTTATACATATATTTATATATGTATATTTGTATATACTTATACATATATTTATATATGTATATATGTATATAATTTTTTTTTTTGAGACAGAGTCTCTCTGTCGCCCAGGCTGGAGTGCAATGGCATGATCTCGGCTCATTGCAACCTCCACCTCCCGGGTTCAAGCTATTCTCCTGCCTCAGCCTCCCAAGTAGCTGAGATTACAGGTGCAGACCACCATGCCCAGCTAATTTTCTGTATGTTTAGTAGAGACGGGGTTTCACCACGTTGCCAAGGCTGGTCTGGAATTCCTCAGCTCAGGCAATCCGCCCATTTTGACCTCCTAAATTGCTAGGATTACTGGCGTGAGCCACCACGCCCAGCCATGTATATACTTGCAGTCATTACTGGCTAAAGTTTGGTGAAATGGGCACAATCATAAAGACAATTTTGTGATAAATAACAAAAGCCTTAGAAACACTCACTGCTTTGATTCAGCAATTCCACTTTACAAATCTATCCCAAGTAAATAATCATTTATGTTCACATGGATTTAGTTTCACAGGTTCACTGTAGCAACACTAATAAGAAAGCAATACTGCAAAAAATCAGCATCCAATAATAATTAATTAATTATGTAAACAAAATATGATACACCCATATAATGCAATACTGTGCATCCTTGAAATTGATGTTATAGAAGAATATTTAATTACATGAGGATATACTGAGAATATACTGTAATTTTTTAAAAGCAGATTATAAAATAGTATATATAAGTAATCTTATTTTTTATTAAAATGTGTTTCTATATATTTAACATAGGAAAAGAATTAAAAGGATATATATTTATAAAGAATGTTAAATTAATTTAATATTAATCTCCAAACAGTAGAATTTTGATAATTTTTAAGTTTTTCTATAATTATCATTATTTAAAAATTAGTAGTTAGTTTAGGAATCATTTATCTGTTTAGAGATCCATTTCATCTAGGAGGATTCTACGTTCCTTTATATTAAGTAACATATTGTATTTATATTTGCATATAAGGGATCTACCTTAGTAGTTTCAAATATTTAAAACCACTTAAATATTTGATAAATGACTGGTAATTCAGTGTTTGTGACTGTCAGTGTTTGTTGATTAAAACTCTTTACACATATGTATAACTCCTTTTTCATTTCAGCAGTGGATTTTATATTATTTTACACATAGATTTAATTATTTATTGAAAATTAACTCACATTAGGACACAAAGGCCTAAGAGTGATATAATGGACTTTGGGGACTCCTGTGGGGGAAGGTGAGGGGGGTGAGAGATAAAAGACTACAAACTGGGTACAGTGTACACTGCTTGGGTGACAGGTGGACTAAAATCTCAGAGATCACTGCTAAAGAACTTATCCATGTAACCAAAAACCACCTATACCCCAAAGACTATTGAAAGTAAAAACCCCAGAGGGTATAATGTAAACAAAGAAAATTAACTCACATTAACTTTCAGGAATTATTATTCTGTTGTTTTAGGATTTTTGTTTTGTTTTGTTTTTATTTTTAGTAGAGATGAAGTCTTGCTGTGTTGCCCAGGCTGGTCTCAAACTCCTGAGCACAAGCTGTCCTCCAGCCTTGACCTCCTAAAGTGCTGGGATTACAGGGATGAGACACCATGCCCCAAAGTGCTGGGATTACAGGATGAGACATCATGCCCAGCCTATTTTAGGTTTTGATGAAAAGTTATTATAAAGAAGTAGATATTGTAATTGAAAATAAGGATAAATTTTTTGAACAGAATGTCAGTTTTTGGCTCGGGTTCTGATTACTTGTATCAAACATTTATATTAGAAATGTTAATTCACATTACTCTGTGTTTTCCTATATTGTTGCACTGAATTCCCTAGAAGCAGAGCCTGAAAGCAGAATTCTTGTTCAAATATTTTATTTAGAAAGTTCTTTCAGGAAAGGAGGAGTCACACAGGAAGATAGGGAAGCAGGATAGGACAGAGGGGAAAGCTAAGCATCAATGTGGTCTCAGTTTCAGACTAGATTCAGTCTGATTCCACAAGGAAGTTCTGACACACAAATTGTACCATAGAATTAATCTTACATTGAGCTGAAAGGACTGGCTTTTGGTACATACATTTCAGTCAGTTATTTGCTGTGGAGTGTCCTGGAAGGGGTTGTGAGAGGCAGGCTGTAAGGAAAGGGGTATAAACCTAGCAGGCCAGGCAACTTCTGTCAGCTGAGGGCAATTCCCTGGAATAGAGGATCTGGGTGAGACTCCAACAGTGTCCACTGTAAGAATGCTTCTCAAAGTATGTTCTCTTTTCTAGCACCATCTGTCTGGTAGCATACAACAAAAACCACAAAATAACTTCTTTTTTTTTTTTTTTTTTTGAGACAGAGTCTCACTGTGTTGCCCAGGCTGGAATGCAGTGGCGCGATCTCGGCTCACTGCAAGCTCTGCCTCCCGGGTTCACACCATTTTCCTGCCTCAGCCTCCCGAGTAGCTGGGACTACAGGTGCCCGCCACCACACCCGGCTAATTTTTTGTATTTTTTAGTAGAGATGGGGTTTCATCATGTTAGCCATGATGGTGTTGATCTCCTGACCTAATGATCCGCCCACCTCGGCCTCCCAAAGTGCTGGGATTACAGGCCGCAAGCCACCGCTCTCGGCTATTAACTTCTATTTTATTTATTTTTATTTTTATTGTTTTGAGATGGAGTCTCTCTCTGTCACCCAGGCTGGAGTGCGGTGGTGTGATCTCGGCTCACTGCAACCTCTGCCTTCTGGGTTCCGGCGATTCTCCTGCCTCAGCCTCCCAAGTAGCTGGGATTACAGGCATACACCACCATGCCCAGCTAATTTTTGTATTTTTAGTAGAGACAGGGTTTCAGCATGTTGGTGCTCTTGAACTCCTGACCTCAGGTGATCTGCCCCTCTCAGCCTCCCAAAGTGTTGGGATTACAGGTGTGAGCCACCGTGCCCGGCCACAACAAAATAACTTCTAAAATGGCATCATGAATTATTAGATTTTATTCCTGTGTATCAAAAGCTGAATGAATTAGCAAACTGATTAAAGAAGAAAATTTGTAGATTAGAAAGCAGTATAAAAGTTTAGTAATCTATGAGATAGTGAGTGAAATGGAGCATCCAAGAACATCCATTCAATCAGTATTTATTGAGCTCTTTCTCTGTGCCAGGTTCCATACTAGGCGCTGGTGATATAGGAGCAAACAAAACAGATGTGTCACCCTCCCGCAATGAGGAGCCTAAAATACAGTGGATTAACTAAATATTACACATGCAAATACACCTACAGATCTTGTATGATAGTTGGATATTTTAACAGATTAAAATAGATTTCCCATGCTATATATTTTCAGTATTATATGATAAAAAATTATCTTTCAGTTTTCATCTTCTGCACTGTAGGTTTTTCTTGCAGGTGTGATGAGTAGGATAATAACATTATAGAAAAAGTATATAAATGTTATGATTAAACACACGTATTAATTCTAGAGCAGGACTTATTCTGCAATCTAAAAATTGACAAGTTACTTAATCAATTTAAGACTTTGTTTTTATATCTCTAAAGAAAATGGCAATAAAAATACCTGTTGTGTAGAGTTAATGTGTGGTATTCAAACAATGTTAGTTCTTTCCTCCTTCTGGAAATTATATTTTAAACATAAATTTTGAAAGACAGGAAAAGAAAACAGAAAGCATATTTCCAATTACTTTAGAATTATATGTCAATGGAAAACTGGATCTACACAATTCCTTTTTTAAAAGAGTTTCTGATTTTTAATTTTTGTAGGTACATATTAGGTATATATATTTATGGGGTACATGAGATATTTTGATACAGGCACGCAATGAATAATAATCACATCATGAAAAAGGGGTATCTATCCCCTCTGGCATTTATCCTTTATGTTACAAACAATCCAAATATACTAATTTAGTTATTTAAAAATGAACAATTAAATTATTATTGACTACAGTCACTCTGTTGTGCTATCCAATACTAAGACATTCATTCTATTTTTTTGTACCCATTAACCATCCCCACTCCCCCTCCCACACCCACTAACCTTCCCAGCTTCTAGTAACCATCCTTCTACTCTGTATCTCCATGAGTTCAATTGGTTTGACTTTTAGATCCTACAAATAAGTGAGGACGTATGTTTGTCTTTCTGTGCCTGGCTTATTTCACTTAACGTAATCACCTCCAATTCCATCCATGTTGTTGCAAAAGACTAGATCTCATTCTTTTTTATGACTGAATAGTATTCTATTGTGTATATGTACCACATTTTCTTTATGCATTCATCTGATGATGGTTACTTAGGTTGCTTCAAAATCTTGGCTATTGTGAACAGGGCTGCAACACATATGGGAGTGCAGATATCTCTTTGATATGCTGATTTCCTTTCTTTGGGGTGTATACCCAGCAGTGGGATGGCTGGATCATATGGTAGCTCTATTTTTAGTTTTATGAGGAACCTCCAAACCGTTCTCTGTATGGGTTGTACTAATTTACATTTCCACCAACTGTGTACAGGGTTCCCTTCTCTCTACATCTCCAGTATTTGTTATTGTCTGTCTTTTGGATAAAAGGCAATTTAACTGGGGTGATATGATACCCCCTATGTTTACTCAAGGCCCTAGGGCTCTATAATCAGCAGGTGGTGAAACCAGCCAGTTTTATATTCGTCCCTTTGGGGTATAAGTTTCCCTAGGCTTTGGGCCGGTCCAGAGATGCTGTTTGGGAGCCAGGGACTGCAGTCAAAAACTTTAGAAATTTCCTTGATGTTCTACTCTACTGTGGTTAAGCTAGCACTCAAACCGCAATACAAAGTCTTTCACGTTCTCCCCTTTCCACAAGTACAGGAGCCTCTCCCTGTGGCCACCACCATCACCAGCACACAGTGGGTTCTTCCAAGCCACTACTGATGTTCACTTAAACCCCAGGGCTCATCAGTCAGGCTGTAGTGAATGCTGCCAAGCCAGGGACTCTCCTTTCAGGAGAATGGGCTCCCCTCTGGCCCAGGGCAGGTCCAGAAATTCTGTTCAAGAGCATAGATCTGGACTTGGGGACCCCAAGAGCTTACTTATTGTTCTACCCCAGTGGCTGAGCTGGTACCTGAAGTGCAAGAAAAAGACCCCTTTACTTTTCCCTGTGCTTTTCTCAAGCAGAAGGAATCTTTCACCATAGCCACCACAGCTGGGAATGTGCTTGGAGACACCTGAAGTCAGTATGTTTCAGAGCCCAAGGCCCATGGTGTACTATCTGGTTATTGCTGCTGGTTATTCAGGGCCCAGGGGCTCTTAAGTCAGCACATGACAAATCCTGCCAGGACTGTGTCCTTCCATTCAAGTCGGTGGGTTTCCTTTTGGCCCAGGATATGTCTAGAAATATCTTCCATGAGCCAGGGCCTAGAATGGGGAGTGTTATGACTCTGACCAGTGCTCTATGCTCCTGTGGCTGAGTTGATATCCAAGTTGCAAGATAAAGTCCTCTTTACTCTTAACTCTCCCCTCCTTAAGCAGAAAGAAGGAGTCACTTTTGTTGCTGCCAGCACTTTTGTTGCTGCTGGCTGGAATTGGAGTGCAGGGACTGGCATAAATACTTCTTCAGCCCCCCAGCTGGTGTTTCCCTAGGTCACATGTCACCCTAGTCCACTGACTCTGAGCCCAGCCCAGCATGAGGACTTGCCTAGAAATTGCAGTCCTTGTGTCCTAGACTGCCTTTCAGGTTTACCTAGGAATTCAGAACACTTTGGCCCACGGTGGCAAGGCTTGCCGAGAATCTCAAGCTCTGACTGCGGGATGGGTAATTCCCCTCAGGCTAGCCCTGGTCCAAATGCTCCCTCTGTGGATGGGGTGCTGGCTAAGCCCAACATGGCTTTATTTTCTGCTGACAGAACAGCGCTGAGTTCAGTGTAAAGCCCTCTAGTCACTGCACTCTCTCTCCTCCAAATGCACAGATTCTGTCCCTGTGCTACATGGCTGCTGCTGTATACTGGGGAAGAGGTGGCATCGTGATTCAAGACTGTCTCTCTTCCCCTCCTCAATGCCTCTTTCAGCAAGATGAAGTTACAACCAGGTACTGTGATTGCTCACCTGGTTTTTGGTTCTTGTGACTCTTCTTTTCTGTATGCAGATAGTTGTTAAAATTTGATGTTCCTGCAGAGGGAACAAATAGTATATAGGCTTCTATTTTGCTGTCTTGCTCTACCCCACCTGCACAATTTCTGTCCTGAACATTAGTATTGCTATGCATTTTTGGCCCTGTGCAGAAATTTTGGAAAGCAAGCCTTATTCCTGGTAAATTGGAAAATATTAATCAATTTTTATTTCTCCTATTCCAAGGGGGATATCTGAGGGAAAAGAAGGGCATTGGTAGGGATTTTCTTTTTCTCTGAATTTTTCTATGTCCTTTTCTATGTATTTTCTGTGTTCTTTTCACAATCTCATGAAGAAATATCAGCTCACCTGACTAAGGACCCTTGTTGAAAATAACTAATCTCCAGGTACTTAATTAATTCCTGCAAAAGAGAAGGATTTAGCTGAAAGGGAGTAGAACAAAAATGCAAACTTTTATGAGCCTTACACCAGGGTCAAGACTAAAGAAAAGCATGAAGACAATGTTTGGCATTGGTATCCTTGACTTCTCCTTTCACTGTCCTTTCCCATCATGTTGCACACAGAGTTCTCAAACGCCTAATTTATAAATGTATTACCTACTTCAGGAGTATTTGCTTGTCAACAAGTGACACAGGACAAAGTTAGAATATGTAAATTGTCAATTTTAGAAATTTATAAATCTGTAAGCAATATGAGGAAGGTGTTTATGAACACATGACTTTCTCTACCTAAACAAGACTGTTTGATGTGGTAAAATGAACACTGGATAATTATAGTAGACACAGCATTTTAAAAATCCATTTTTGCTTTTTGAGTAATAGTATAATAGTATTCCAATTTCCTTTTGTGGAATTACTTCCCCTATTAAGTGAAAACTTGGTGAGAAAACTTGAATAAAGTACCTGCCTCTACTGGCCAGGGTGTGGACGAATGACTCAAGGTAGGTCAATCTGACTGTTTCTTCCTGGTTCTTTAATGTAATGATGCAACTTTAACATAACTCTTTAATGTAATGATGCAGAGATAAGGGTAAAACAACAGTTGGCACCTCTTATTCAATGATGGCTCTTTCAGTTCCTATTCCTGAGACTAACAAAGCTAACTGGTTTTTGTTTTTTCTGATCTTGGTACTCTAGGCTTTGCTTTACTTCTGTGAGCACCCCATAGTCTTCCAACATGATTACTTTTGCTTAGGTTAGCCAGGGAAGATTCTATTGCTTACAACCAAAGACTCACATTAGATTCAAGGTATTAGGAGGCATGATGGCTCTCTGTGAAATACTTAGCATCTCTGGCTCTATTTTTTCATATGTGAAAATGATGTGGTAGGACTACATGGTTTCTAATTTCTTCTCTAACTCTGAAAGGAAATGAATATATAAAGCTAGCCCTCCCTAAAAGCCACTAATAATTCTGAACATATGCCTATTCCTAGATGAATAAGTTGGGGGTTAATGCACTTTCCCATTAACTGTGACTTCTAATTTGGTCTCTTAGCATGCCTTCAGCCTCTAGGCCCTGGGGCCCATTTAAGGTCATTTAGGCAGAGGCCACATCTGTGGTATCTGAATTATCTGGCTAAGCATCCTGTACTCATTGGGTATTTGCCAACCATATGCTAGATCAGGGTCTGTCAGAATGCCCTCATTTTGGAAAACTATTTAAATGGCAAGAAAAATTAGATCTTAGAAAGAAAAGCATGGGTATAGAGCTCAAGGAATTGGCACAGCTGGGTATCATTAGCAATAATCAAACCTTATCCAGTATAAAAAGCAACAGAAAGTGATGATGTGGGAGCAGTGTGTATTTGTATGTGTATGTAAGTTTATGTATGTATTTGCGTATGTTTGTATACATGTATATATCTGCATAATAAATGTATATAAAATTTTTTTAAATCTTGGTTTCTTTGACTGCTTTCCCCTCCTCACCCTGAACTTGGATCTTTCTACTGTATCCCAGTGGGAGTGTTTGATGTATTGAAATCATCTTAGAATTTCACAGTCTTTGAGGCAGCAACTTTGATGCTGCAGACACAGAGGAGGGCTAAATAAATACATTATTAACAGAAAAAAAAGTGCAAATACTAAATAGCTACTGGAGAATCTAAGTTCTAAAAACATATCCATGAAAGATTCACATCTTTTTTCCCCATAATGACTAATTTTTTATTATAAAGTAATACTATTACTTTAGAAAACAAAAACTTGGAAAATATATGTAGTATATATAAAGGAGCAAGTAAATGTTACCTACACTCTTACCACTCAGATCTATTAAGTAACATTTTTGGATATTTTCTTTAATTTGCAGAAGGTAGTTTTTAATGAAAGAATCCAAATTTGGGATTTACTGAGCTTAGTTTGGAAATTCTTAATTGCAGACATGCATTTTGTCACCAATTTGCTAAATAAAAACAAGATAAGAGTTCCCTTAGTGTTGCTTAATTTAGCTTTATAAATAGACTTTAAAATCACTGTTGTACAAATTTTCTTTTTGAAACTTAAATTTGGCATTTTACATTTGCCCTTCCAAACCCATTCTCTTTAACCTACTCTATTGCACCAATCTCTGCTCACCTTCAAGTGCAAGCCCAAAGCCCTCCCAACCACACAAATCCATAGCACACATTAAGATAGGAAGAGACAGTCAATAATAATTGAACACTTACCATGTGGCAGGCAGTACACCAAAGTCTTTATTTATATATATGTGTGTGTGTATACACACACACACACACACACACACACTAGGTTGATCTTCAAATCCAAAGGCTTTTTATGTGCCATCTTGTTTAATCCTTACAAAACCTTATGAAATAGATATTATTCACATGCTTACATTACTGATGAAGAAACTACATTTCAAAAATATTAAGTGACTTGCTTAAGATGGTCATAAACTAGTTACTGGTAAAGCTGACACTTCAGCTCAGGTCTACCTGATTCCAAAGCCACTATGCTACTGCAACATATAAGGACAAAGAAAAGGCAGTGGCCATGCCTAGACAAAATTATGAAGAAGACAAAAGTCTGTGTTTTGTGCTCTCAATTCCCAGCCAATAGAAACCCATTTTAAAAGTATAGTGTTTGATGAGAAGGAGAATATTCACCAAAGGCTTTAAGTATTAAGTATTCAGGTGGGTGGGATGCTCTTAACATTATGATGTTCATTAGGAACATTGACGTCTAGGACATTAGAGCTCACAGGATACTTAGTACAATCTAATTTAATTCCTTCAATTTACATATTAAAAAACTGAGGCCTGGAGATATAAGGTTACAATTCTTGTCAATAACAGAGCATCGTAATTGTGATTCTACAGCCTAGAATCTGGGTCCCTTTTTCTTTCAATCTACAGATTCCTGAAAACACCAAGGCCTTGTTGTTTCATAATGTAGATGAATCTGATGAAGCAAAATGACTTTGAATGAACTTTAGAGGGTATTGCTTGTATATCTGCTAGCTGATTTTTTTCTAGGTTCAGTTATTTTAGGTCAAAGCCAAATAGTGACTAATATTTCCTTTACAGGCTTTGTGTCTTTCTGATATTTTATCAACAGAATGACTTGAGATTTAATCAATGCATACCTCTAAGTCTAAAAACCCTCACCTAAAGCTTATTCTGTAGCATCTTTGTGTTATAATTTATATGTACTTGATAAGGTAGAAGTTATGCCTGAATTCAATGTGTGTTCTTTTTTTCTATTTGGTTCTCTGCTTTAACTTTTAAAATGGAAATGTGTTGAACACAAAGAGTAACCAAATGAAACAACAGTATAAAACACAGTCTCTTCATTTAGTTTACCAGTAGTCTAGAAAGTAAAAAGATAAATTGAGGCATATAGCTTCGTACGTGTTTGAATCCGTATGATTTTTCTCTCAAATGTACTTAACCTTGAAAGAGTTCATTCTGAATATTCCCATCATTACTCCAGTGCTTCTTCTCAATCCAGAACTCAAAAACATGTATTTAAGCCACTTTACCTTCAGAGTCTACTTTTCTTTTCCTTTTTTTTGAGCCTCTGGGTTTGACCACTTAAAATAATTAGGATGCAAAAATAACAAGAACATTTCTCATTAGGATAGAAATGATGAGGACAAAATGTCCATTTAGTTTTATTCTTATAAAGCGAGCTGGAATTCCCAGAAGATTGAATAAGGATAGTGAGGGCAAATGCTATCAGATTTGTGGACTCATAAAGTAATTCTGTAGATATCATTTGACTAAATATATGTTTTGCAAAACTAAGCTCTGTCAGCACCACACCCAGATTATTTACTATAGTGTGCATTTCAAATGAACACATATGGATTTTCTATTTTGATGCATTTTCTTTGAGTTAGCTGAAGGTGTGAGTTGTGTTAAATTAAATGCAGAGAAGGAGATCTAAATGCTGGATGAAAAATGAAGGTGCTGGACACCTATAATTTGTGTATCTAGTAATCTGTCAAAAGCATAGTGAGTAATGAAGGAGTGATCACATTTATAAATCTCTCGCATTTAAGAATGCTCATTAGTTATACAAATTTAGTTGTATTTATATTTAGGAAGGTAATACAAAGTGGACATTTGCACATTTTAATATTCACTACGCACTACTTACAAATATCCTTATAATATACTTTTGGCACATGACATAAAGAACATTAACAGTATTTATGCATCCAGAAATTATCTTCTCAATTCCCTGACAGTGGCAAAAGCTGGAGGAAAAAAAGGGATTTCCACATAATTTATATGAGAGGCTCTCTTCTGTGATGTTGAGTGATTGTAGTCCTGTGTAGGGCTTAGATCCATTCATTATCAAATATTTACTAAACATCTATTATGTGCCAGGCACTAGGCTGGGTTCTGGATATACAATGGTGAATAAGGTATACATTACTTTAGCTTCCTGGAGTTTCTAGTTTTATGGGCAAGAAAGATAAGATAAATAAATAATTACAAATTGTAAAGGTCCTATAAAAGAAACAAACAGGGAACTCTGGTAGAGAATATCTGGGTTGAAGGGGATAGGCAAAGAAGTCTCCTGTCAAGAGATGACATTTAAATGGAATGCATGATGAAGTACGGAGTGGATGGTGCTCTTGGTTTCTACCATTTATTGAGTTACAGGCCTGGGCTAAAATTTTTTTATGTATTATTCAACAACTCTATAATATGATGCCCACATTACAAATGAGAAAACCAAGGGCTTCATTACCCAGGTCACAAAGCTGGTAAGAGATCTGAGATGGGAGAATGACCTGGAGTCTGAATCCAGAGTTCATACCTTTTGAAGCAGTAATTCCATTTCTAGGAAAAATATCAAAAAAGAATAACCAGAAATTTAGACACAAATTTACCAAACAAGATAATTCTCTGAACTCATTTTAAAAATGGCACTAATCTTTTATTTGGGGGCTGAGGAAGGATTTAAGATTGGGCTTATAGTTTCACTTAATAATATTCCTCATCTTCCTTTTAAAAAATGATTCATTGGTTTTTAATATATTCACAGAGATGTGAAATCATCACTACAATCAATTTTAGACATTTTCATCAACCTGAAAAGAAACCCCATACTCTTTGGCCTCCCACTACTCCCTATTTCTAGGCAACCACTAAACATGTTGTTATAGATTAGCCTATTTCATATACATCGAGTTATATATACACTTTGGTCATTTGGGACTGGCTCCTTTCATTTAGAATAATTTTCCAAAGTTCATCCGTGTTGTAGCATGTATTAGTATGGATGTACCACCTTTTATTTATCCGTTCATCAGCTGGTGGCGATTTAGGTTGGTTCTACTTTTTAAGCCATTAAAATTATTATTATTATCATCATTATTTTTGAGATAGAGTCTTGCTCTTTCGCCCAGGCTGGAGTGCAGTGGTGCAATCTCAGCTGTCTGCAACCTCTGCCTCCCGGGTTCAAGCGATTCTCCTGCCTCAGCCTCCCGAGTAGCTGGGACTACAGGCACGTGCCACCATGCCCAGCTGATTTTTGTTGTTGTTGTTGTTTTGTGTGTGTGTGTGTGTGTATGTGTGAGACGGAGTCTGGCTCTGTCGCCCAGGCTGGAGTGCACTGGCGCGATCTCGGCTCACGCCAAGCTCCGCCTTCCGGGTTGCCACCATTCTCCTGCCTCAGCCTCCCGAGTAGCTGGTACTACAGGCACCCGCCACCACGCCCGGCTAATTTTTTGTATTTTTAGTAGAGATGGGGTTTCACCTGTGTTAGCCAGGATGATCTCAATCTCCTGACCTCGTGATCCGCCTGCCTCGGCCTCCCAGAGTGCTGGGATTACAGGCGTGAGCCACCGTGCCCGGCCGATTTTTTTTGTATTTTTAGTAGAGATGGGGATTCACTGCATTAGCCAGGATGGTCTCGATCTCCTGACCTCGTGATCCACCCGCCTTGGCCTCCCAAAGTGTTGGAATTACAGGCGTGAGCCACTGCACCCAGCTAAAATTATTTTTTAAAATTACTTTTATTTGTCCAAATATATGGGGTACATGTGAAATTTAGTTAATGCATGTAATGTGTCATGATCAAGTCAGGGTATTTAGGGTGTACATTATTCAGATACGACACATTTCTATTAACTATAGTCACCCTCCTCTGCTATAAGACCTGAATTTTATTCCTCTAACTGTATGTTTGTGCTCTTTAGCCCACCACTCTTCAACCTCCCCACTTCTCCGAATTATGCTTCCCAGTCTCAGTTACCTATCTTTCCATTCCCTATCTCCTGCATAAAGTGATAACATGCAATATTTGTCTTTTTGAACCTGGCTTATTTCACTTACGAAAATGACCTCCAGTTCCATCTATGTTGCTGCAAATGACATTTCATTCTATTTTATGGCTGAAGAGTATTCCATTGTATACCACATTTTCTTTATCCATTCATCCACTAATGAACACTTAGGTTGATTCTATATCTTTGCTATTGTGAATACTGCTGCAATAAACACATGAGTGCAGGTATCCCTTTGATAGATTGATTTATTTGCCTTTGAGTAAATACCCAGTAGTGAGATTGCTTGATTGAATGTTGATTCTATTTTTAGTTTTGGAGAAATCTCCATGCTGTTTTCCATAGCGGCTGTACTATTTTACATTCCCACAAACAGTGTATAAGAGTTTCCTTTTCTCTGCATCCTCACCAACATTCATTATTTCTTGACTTTTTAATAATAGCCATTCTGCAGTCTAGATTAAGATACTATCTCATTGTGGTTTTGGTTTGTATTTATCTGATGATTAGTGATGTCAAGCATTTTTCCCTATAGCTCTTGGCCATTTGTATGTCTTCTTTTGAGAAATATCTATTCATGTTCTTTGCCCCCTTTTGATGGGACTATTTGTTTTTCTCCTGTTGATTTGTTTGTATATTCTGGATATTGGTCACTTGTTGGACAAATAGTTTGCAAATGTTTTCTGTCATTCAACAGGTCATCTTTTCACTCTGATTATTATGTTCTTTGTTGTGCAGAAGACTTTCAGTTTAATTAAGTCCCATTTGTCTATTTTTGTTGTTGTTGCCTATGCTTTTGAAGTCTTAGTCACAAATTCTTTGCCTAGACAAATGCCCAGGAGAGTTTTTTCTAGGTTTCCTTCTAGTATTTTTATAGTTTGGGGTCCTATGTTTAACTCTAATCCATTTTTGGTTGGTTTTTGCTTACAGTGAAAGATACGGATCCAGTTCCTTTTTCTGAAAGTAGCTATCCAATTTTCCCAATACCATTTATTGAACATGGTATCCTTTCCTTAACCTAAGTTCTCCTAGGCTTTGCTGAAGATCCATTGGCTGCAAATATGTGACTATTTCTGGATTCTCTTTTCTGTTCCATTGGTCTTTGTGTCTATGTTTATACCAATATCATGTTGTTTGGGTTACTATATAGCCTTGTAATATATTTTGAAGTGAGGTGACGTGATACCTCCAGCTTTGTTGTGTTTTGCTCAGGATTGCTTTGGCTATTTGGGCTCTATTTTGGTTCCATATAAATTTTAGGATTGTTTTTTCTAATTCTGTGAAGAATGACATTGGCATTTTGATAGGGATTGTATTGAATCTGTAGATTGCTTTGGGCAATATGGTCATACTAATGATATTAATTCTTCTGATCCATGAACATGGGATGTTTTTCCACTTCTTTTTGTCACCTTCAATTTCTTTCATTAGTATTTTGTAGTTCTTGTAGAGATTGTTCACCTCCTTGGTTAACTTTGTATCTAGGTTTGGTGGGTTTTGTTGTTGTTGTTGTTGTTGTTGTTGTAGCTATTATAAATGAGATTTCCTTCTCAGCTAGATCATTACTGATGTATAAAAATGCTATTGATTTTTGTATATTGTTTTCTGTTCTACAACTTATCTGAACTCATTTATTAAATCTTAGAGTTTTCAGGTGGAGTCTTTTTTTTAACATTTTTAGTAAACGTTTATTTTTTACATTCCTTAAAAACAAAACAAAAATCACAAGTTTAATACTAACCCTTTGAAATATTGTACACCAAAGTCACCTTACTCATGCAGCAAGTTGGTCTATGTTCTCTTTACTTCTGTTTGCCAGATGATCCTCAATAATTTCTGCAAACAGATTCCTCTTCAACAGATTATATGCAAGAGGTAAAAGCTGGACAGCAACTTTATGAAAATAATGTGAGCCATAGCAAAAGAGGTCCATTCCCAACTCAAGCCCCATCCCATAATCACATTCATTATTAGCAAACTGCACAAAAGTCATCATTTCCTGAATGGGAGCAAAAGCTTTCAGCCTCAACTGTTGTCTTGCAAATTCTCTTGAGGTCAGCATCTGTTTCAGGGAGCTCTCTGTACCTAACATCATTTTTATCTACTGGAACAACAAAGCACCATGAAAGGTCTTTGACACAACTTTCTTATCTCTCTGTTTCATCTTCATGGTTCTCTGTTCCAGTGAGTACCCCCAGTTCTCCGGCTGCTTTTGTAAGTTTTTCATCTATGTTTTTCAAGAGATTAGTTTTCTTTTTATCTGTTACTTTGGGTTGAGTCTTTAGGTTTTTCAAAATATAAGATTATATCATCAGCAAAGAGGGACAATTGGACTTTCTCTTTTCCAGTTGGAGTGCCTTTTATTTCATTTTCTTGCCTGATTGCTCTAGCTAGGACTCTAGATATTGATTGCTCTAGCTAAGACTTCCAGTACTATGCTGAATAAGAGTGGTGAAAGTGGACATCTTTGTCTTGTTTACATTCTTAGAGAAAAGACTTTTGACTTTTCCCCCATTCGGTATGATGCTAGTTGTAGATTTGTCATATATGGCCTTTATTATTTGAGGTATATTCCTTCTATGCTTAGTTTTTTGAGAGTTTTTATCATGAAGACATGTTGAATTTTATTAAATGCTTTTTCAGGAATTTTGTGTCTATGTTCTTCAAGGATCTTGTTTTTTTTGTTGTGTCCTTGTCTGGTTTTGGTATCAGGTGATGCTAGCCTTGTCAAATGAACTAGAAAATATTCCATCCTTTTGATTTTTTGTAATAGTTTCATAAGGATTGGTATTAGTTCTTTGTACACTTGGTGTAATTCGACTATAAATCCATCTGGTACAGGGCTTTTCTTTTTTGGGAAATTTTTAAAATTACTGATTCAATCTCACTACTCATTTTTAGTCTGTTTAGGTTTTCTATTTCTTCTTGATTCAATCTTGACAGGTCATATGTTTCTAGGAATTTATCCATTTCCTCTGTGTTTTCCAGTTTGTCAGTATATAGTTTTTCATAAGTCTCTGATGATCTTTTGTATTTATGTGGTATCATTTGTAATGTCTCCTTTTTCATTTCTGATTTTATTTGGGTCTTCTTTCCTCTTTTCTTGGTTAGTACAGCTAGCAATTTATCAATTTTTTTATCTTTTTGAAAAACCAACTTTACATTTCATTGATCATTTGTATTGTTTTTTTTAGTCTCCATTTCATTCATTCCTACATTGATCTTTATTATTTCTTTTCTTATGCTAATTTGAGGATTGGTTTGTTCTTGCTTTTCTAGTTCCTTGAGGTGAATTGTTTTATTGTTAATTTGTAATCTTTCGTGTGTGTGTGTGTGTGTGTGTGTATGTGTGAGACAGAGTCTCACTCTGTCACCAAGGGTGGAGTGCAGTGGCACAATCTCGGATCACTGTACTACAACCTCCACCTCCCGGGTTCAAGCGATTCTCATGCCTCAGCCTCTGGAGTACCTGGGATTGCAGGTGCATGGCACCATGCCTGGCTAATTTTTGTATGTTTTAGTAGAGATGGGGTTTGGCAATGTTGGCCAAACTAGTCTCAAACTCCTGACCTCAAGGGATCCACTGCCTCAGCCTCCCAAAGTGCTGGGATTACAGGCATGAGCCACTGTGCCTAGCCTAATTTGTAATCTTTCTACCTTTTTGATGTAGGTGGTTATTGCTATAAACTTCTCTCTTAGCACTGCTTTTGCCATATCCTACAGTTTTGGTATGTTGTATTTCTATTTTCATTTCTTTTAAGAAATTTTTGGTTTCCATTTTAATTTTTTCATCGACCCTATGGTCATATAGGAGCATATTGTTTAATTTCCATGTCTTTGTATAGTTTCCAAAGTTCTGCTTGGTATTGATTCCTAGTTTTACTCCGTTATGGTATTAGAAGACACTTAATATGACTTCAATTTAAAAAAACCTGTTAAGACTCCTTTTTTGTCCTCACATATGGTCTCTCCTGAAGAATGTTCATGTGATGATGAAAAAAATGTATATTCTGCAGCTGTTGGATAGAATGTTCTGTAAATGTCTGTTAGATCCATTTGGTCTAAAGTGAAGTTTAAATCCAATGTTTCTTTTTTTATTTTCTGTCTATGTGATTTGTCTACTGCTGAGAATGGGTGTTAAAGTCCTCCACTATTATTGTTTTGTAATCTCTCTCTCTTTATACCTAGTAATATTTGCTTTATGAATGTGGGTGCACAAGTGTTAGGTGCATATATATTTAGAAGTGTTATATCCTCTTGCTGGATTGATCCTTTTGTCATTATATAATGACATTCTTTGTATTTTTCTATTTTTTGCTGCTTTTGACTGAAAGTTTGTTTTATGTGATGTAAGTATAGCTACTTCTGCTCACTTTTGGTTTCTGTTTGCATAGAATCTTTTTCTATCCATCTACTTTCAGTCTATACATGTCTTTATTGGTAAGATGAGTTTCCCGTAAGCAGTGTATAGTTGAATAATATTTTTAAAATCCATTTAGCTATTCTATATCTCTTAAGTGGATAATTTAATATGTTTATGTACAAGATTATTGATATGTGAGGCTTTGTTCCTATCATATTGTTAATTTTTTCTGGTTGATTTACATATTCTTTGTTCTTTACTTTTTCTCTTATTGTTTGTCATTGTGTTTTGGTGGATTTCTGAGTGATATCATGACTCTTTTCTCTTCTTCCTTTGTGTAATTGCTTTACCAGTGAGTTTTATACTTTCATGTGTTTTCATGATATTAAATGTCATTCTTTCACTTCCAGGTTCAGCATTCCCTTGAACATTTATTGTAGGACAAGTCTAGTGGTAATCATTTCCTCAGCATTTGCTTCTCTGGAAAGATTTTATTTCTCCTTCATTTTTAAAGAATAAGTTGGTCGGATATAGTATTTTTGGCTGATAGTTTTTTTAAAAAATCACTTTGAATATATTATCCCATTCTCTTCTGGCCTGTAAGGTTTCTGTGGAGTAATTCTTTTTTTTTTTTTTTTTTTGAGATGGAGTCTTGCTCTGTTACCCAGGCTGGAGTGCAGTGGCGCAATCTCGGCTCACTGCAAGCTCCGCCTCCTGGGTTCATGCCATTCTCCTGCCTCAGCCTCCCGAGTAGCTGGGACTACAGGCGCCCGCCACCACGGCCGGCTAACTTTTTGTATTTTTAGTAGAGACAGGGTTTCATCATGTTTGCCAGGATGGCCTCGAACTCCTGACCTCGTGATCTGCTTGCCTTGGCCTCCCAAAGTGCTGGGATTACAGGCGTGAGCCACCGCGCCTGGCCATTGGAATAATTCACATAGTTTGATGAGGTTTCTCTTATAGGTGACTAGATTCTTTTCTCTTAATTTTAGGAGTCACTCCTTATCTTTGACTTTAGACAGCTTGACTATAAGGTACTGTGGAGAAGACCTTTTGCATTGTATCTGCCTGAGGTTCACTGAGCCTCCTTTATATGAACGTTTAAATCTCTTGCTAGACTTAGGAAATTTCCTTCTATTATTTTGTTATGTAAGTTTTCCAATCCTTTCACATTTTCTTCACCCTTGGGAATGCCAATAGTTTAAATATTCTGCCACCTTATGTTGTCCCAAATGTCACGAAGGCTTTGGTCATGCCTTTTTAATCTTTTTTATTTGTTTTTATCTGCTGAATTGTTTCAAAAGACTTGTCTTTGAATTCTGAGAATTTTTCTTCTGCTTGATCTAGTCTATTGTTGAAGCTTTTACATGTATTTTTTATTTTCTACAATGAATTCTTCAGTTCCAGAATTTCTATTTAGTACCTTTTTTTTTTTAATGTATCTCTTTGGTAAATTTCTGATTCATATCCTGAATTATTTTTCTGATTTCTTTGTATTATTTTTCAGAATTCTCTTGTATCTCACTGAGTTTCTTTAAAATCAATATTTTGAATCCTTTATCTGGGATTTTGATTTTTTTTAGCACATCAGAGTTGCAAAGTATATCTGGGATTTTGACCTTTTTTTAAAATTAAGATATATTACTGGAGAATTACTGTGTTCCTTTGGAGGCCACATTTCTTTGATTTTTCATGTTTCCTTTGTCCTTATATTGACATCTGCACATCTGGTGTAATAGTCACTTCTTCCTATTTTTACATTAATTTTATAGGGGAAAATTTTTCCTATAGATGTATCTGTAGTGTTGGCTGGATAGGGCACTTTGGCTTTGATTTTGGGTGTGTGGAGTAATGTGGTCTCTGTATGATTTCTTTAGCTATAGTGTTAGTGGTATCTGTGATTTCCTTGGTAGGTTAGGGTGCAGTTTTTAGTGGAGTTTGTGGTGAAGTTGTGCTGGGACTAGGATGCCAGGTGGGCCAGTCTTCAGACCCTAGTGGTGGCAGGGGTGGGCTGAGAGTACCTATCCTTGTGCCCTAGGGCAGTTTATGCTAGCACTGGTGTTGGCAGTTACCAGCAGACCAATTCTTGGGCCTTCCTGTGGCTTACTTAGATGCCAGCAGTAGCAACAGTGGTCTGGGCAGATGGGCATGTTCTCAGACCCCTGGGAAGCTGGTATGAGAGATTGGTGATGGCATTAGCAGTGGTGGGACAAATCTCTAGGTCCCAAGCAGTGTGTGCTGATGTTGGAAGTGGCTGTGATGAGCTAGGTGGGCCAGTCTCCAGGCACACAGGTGGTGCTTGCAGGTAGATGCCAGCTGAGGAGGTTCTGGCCAGGAATTTAGGCCCAAATTCAAGCCCCTGGAGCACTCAGGTACTCAATGTGGTGAATTGGGTTGGACCATCCCCAGGACTCTGTGCTATGCCATCTCTCTCAGAGGGGGTAGAGATAAAGCCTTGCTGGGTAGGCTTGTGCTCAAGTTCCCTAATGAACTTGCTCAGCTAGTGCTGAGCAAGCACTAGCCATGGTCAGCAGGAACAGAACAATTCTCAGGCCCCAGGTGGAGTGCTAAGTTGAGGGTCTTTAACAGCCTTCAGTGGCAGGGCCTCAGTGGGGCATTCCTCAGTAACTATGGCCTTGCCTGTTCGCTAGGGACTGCAGGTCCCTCTCATGTCCCAGTCCCCATAGGCTTGTTCCCCAGCTTTGATGGCCATAGCCTACACCTAGCTTGTGTCCCAGCCCTGGCTGCAGGAGCCCCCATGCAGCTTGCAACTCAGTCCCAATGGCAACCTGTGCTCTGTTCACATCCCTTCTCAGTCCTGGCAGTATTCACTTCCCAGCCCCAGCAGCTGCAGCTCACTCCTTGCATGCTTCTCAGTCCTGGATGTAGAACTCTCAGTACACACCCCAGTCACAGCAGTGACAGCCTGAGTTTCCCTAATAACTTAGATCCAGTGCCACCAGACCCCAGGACAGTGTGAAGTCTTCCAAAGGCTAGGTTTGAGAATGGCACCTTGCTCTAGCCCTGTAGCTGCTTAGGTCTCAGAAAGGGTGTGGGACCCAGCACAAGCTCCCTCCCTATAGCTGTTCCATCCCATGGTCTCCTGGCAGCTCTCTGTGTTAGTTTCAGGGTTTGGGAGTGTCAATGGGCTCCCCTGTGACTAGGACTGTATGATTCTATGGTGGGCCTGTGGGCCACTGGAAGTCTCTCACACTCTCCCCATGTTGGAAAGTCATTCCAAGCTCCCAGCTGATCCCAGACAAGTTGGCTTCCTCTTTTGCTTCCTCTTCCTTGATTTTGGTGTTTCCTGTCACTTCTTTGTTGAATTCCAGTGTTCTCTCTTGAGTAATGTATTCAAAGTACGCTTATCTATACACTATTTTGATTCTTCTAAGTGGAGAAGGTAGGCATGCAATGCTTCTAGTCAGCCATCTTGAAGCCTCTCCTTGTCTTCCATTTTTTAATGATTTATATGTAAGAGGTTGATATGGTTTGGCTCTGTGCCCCCACTGAAATCTCATCTCAAATTGTAATCCCCACAAGTTGACCTGGTGGGAGGTGACTGGATCATGGGGGTGGTCTCCCATGAACATGCCCACCTGCCCAAGCCACTGCTGCCCCTACTGGCATCTGAGTAAGCAACAGGAAGGCCCAAGAATTGACTTGCAGGTGAATGCCAACATCAATGCTAGCATAAACTTCCCTAGGACACTAGGATAGGCACTTTCATGGGGGAAACCCATGGCTGTTCTCATAATAGTGAATCTGTTCTCATGAGAGCTGACAGTTTTAAAGTGTGGCACCTCCTTGCTCTCTCTCTTGCCACCATGTAAGATGTGCCTTGCTTCCCCTTCGCCTTCTGCCATGATTGTAAGTTTCCACTGAGGCCTCCCAGCCATGCAGAACTGTGAGTCAATTAAACCTCTTTTGTTTATAAATTACCCAGTCTCAGGTAGTATTTTTATAGTGGTGTGAGAATGGACAAATACAGAGGCTACAAAACAGTAACCATCAGAATTCTAGAAAAGTGGTCAAATTTTGGCCAGGCGCAGTGGCTCATGCCTGTAATCCCAGCACTTTGGGAGGCCGAGGCGGGTGGATCACCTGTCAGGAGTTCGAGACCAGCCTGGCCAACATGGTGAAACCCTGTCTCTACAAAAATACAAAAATTAGCCGGGTGTGTGGCAGATGCCTGTAATCCCAGCTACTCGGGAGGCTGAGGCAGGAGAATCGCTTGAACCTGGGAGGCGGAGGTTGCAGTGAGCTGAGATCATGCCATTGCACTCCAGCCTGGGTGACAAGAGTGAGACTCCATCTCAAAAAAACAAAAACAAAAACAAACAAAAAAGAAAAGTCAAATTTTATCAGATTGTATATAGAGAAAGGCAAGGAGATAGATAGAGATAGGAACATGTAAAAGTAAAAGGCAAGAAATAACCACAGAGGATGTGAGTTTTGAGTAATGGAAGAAAGTCTTTCTATTAGATGTTAGTCTGAAAGATGCATTTTTCTCTGCACTATCTAAAGCTAGTGAGAGCTATAGGGTTATCCTAAACACAATTAAAGAAAGCACTGTCAGACATTTTTCAGGAAGCTGTAATGAAGAATATTTTTATATAATGGGCACATCTCCAATATTTCCTTAGTGCAAATCCACATTTGTGCAAAATTAAATAAGAACAGAAAACTGAGGGCAATAGAAAGTATGTTTGATGAAATCCATGTAGCTTGGTTTGAAAGTTATACTTTTAATGACTATTAAATAAAGCAGGCAGAGAGAATGAGAATTCTTGTCCAATTTGAGTATTAGTTTTGATCTATGGAATGGTTTGGACCCACTTAGATTATGATTCTGTAGGAGCTAATTAATGAAAAGACACATCAGAAAAATTACCAAAAACTTGGAAATGAGGCAAAAACAAAAACAAAACAAAATGGTGACAGCATGACTTTCAATATGAAACAGTAGAAAAGGCCACCCAAGGATTGTTCTTCTCAGTGCTACTGTAATTATAGGATCAGACTTAGTAAGTCACTCATTAACTCAGAGACTTTGTCAGGTAGAGATGGTGGTAATTTCTGCTGGAACAGATGACTATAGAGATTTATGGCCTACTGGTCATTACCAGTTTATATCTAACCCAGCAATCTTATCCTAACGTTTGTTTGTTAAATGTCCTATGAATAATCCAGTTTCTTAACTCTCTTTCAACCTATCATAACATCTTACTGGTTCTCCCATAATTTTATATATGCTTGAGAGTCATGGTTTTGCTTTTTGAAAATTATACTTTAACAAGAATAGTCCATCCTCATTACTCAGATTTATTTTTTATTAATACCCATTGAAGTAGCATTGTTATTTCTATATCACTTGCAATTTGCCATGAATACTTATTCCTAATACTTATAATGCTATGTATACTTATGTATAATGCTATGTATACTTATGACTTATAATGCTATGTATACTTATGTTAGTTAAATCTTCACAGAGGAGGTTTTATTGTTTTAAACTGGGGCTTATGCAAAATAATCCTCAAAAATTTTATAGGTGAAATACTCAAATTTGGTGGATGCAATTAACATTTTCAGTCAGGACCCTACTGCCCAGAGTAGACAAACTAAGTAAGCAGTGGCCAATTTAGTGCTGCAACTGAGTGAAGTTGACATCATCACAGATCCTTCTGTATCTGAAGGATATAGAAGGATCCTCTTTTGCCTCATTCTCCTTTAATCATTCTCCTTTGCCTCATTCTTCTTTTATCATTCTGTATACACTTTGCAGGGTATTTTGAGACAGATTTTTTAAAAGAACAGTTGAGTTGGCCAGGATTTTATATCTGTTTGCATGGCTTTGTTATTTGCCATTCACTAAGGTGAATGGATACCCAATTGCTAACAGCATCATATACCCTGGGGTTCTATGCCAGATAGTGTTCCACTGATTTAAAAGAATATGGACTGCCATCTGACAAAGCTCGTTAATGGATTACTCCATTTCTTACACTAGAAGCTAATGACAGATAGTTCAGATTGTTTTGAATTATGAGGAAACTTTTTGAAATGAATAAAGACTGATAGCAAAACATTCACTTACTGATCACTTCTCACATATCTACATTCCATTAATTCTGCATAAGGTGATGCTCATTGACTGAAGGTAATGTGTGTTTATTATGCTAATGTCCTGTGAAAATAACACCTTTAAAAATTCCCACCTCAAAGTATCCTGCATAAAAGTTGAAAGTGACAACTTGAGCTTTACCAGGGGGCTGTATCAACCCATCACTATTTTTCACTTTTGTAAAAAATAAAGAACCAAGGTAGTTGAAATGTAAATACTCTAATTTTGCCTAATTATTGTATAACATCATGTGTCTTATATTAACTGCTATCTCTTGTATATAAGCCATTAGTTATCTTTCTGCAATGGCAAGAGAGGGTGTGTGCAGAGAGGCGGGGGTGGGAGGGGGACCATGAAGTTGCCATGTTATTGAAAAGCAACTAGGGGTTCCCTTTGTGTTTTATGTTTACTTTCTGTAGGCAAGTCAAATCATTGACAGGGTCTTGAATTCTTAAGTCCCTCCAAAAGTCTCAAGACCTCTCACTGTGTCCTAACAATTTAACCTTTTCTAAAAGAATTATCTGGCTTTTAAATGTTCAAATCTTCCTAGCTTAGGTTTGTTGTTGTTGTTGTTGTTTTCAAGTATTGGAACAATAGTAGATGAGAAAAACATTTGGCCTTCACACATTTTCCTTCTGGACATGAGTTAATTATGTCCAGTATAGGGTGTGAAAGGAAAACAAATATTGGGGCCCCCAAATCATTGAGCTAAAGGGGAAAGTCAAGCTGGGAACTGTTAGGGCAAACCTGCCTCCCATCCTATTCAAAGTCACCTCTTTGCTCACTGAGATAAATGCATATCTGATTGCTTCCTTTGGAGAGGCTAATCAGAAACCCAGAAGAATGCAACCATTTGTCTCTTATCTACCTATGGCGTGAGTCCTCAACCTTGAAAAAATAAACTTTCTAAATTAACTGAGACCTGTCTCACATATTCGGGGTTCAGAAATGGAAGATTAATCATTTCTTAAGTGATTTGCAAAAGGTAAAATGTGGAAAGAGCACTAGATTTGGACACAGAACTGGTTTCTAGTCTGGCTTTGCAAGTCAGTTTAACAATTCTTTTATCTGCAAAGCAAGAATAATATCTCATAGTGTTGTGATATATTTGAGGTACTTTGTCATCTGCGAGGTGCTTTACAAATGTGAGATTTCTTCATTCTTTGATTAACTTATGTTGGGACTCAAAAAGCAATACACCCAAAGACTGACACTTTAACATACTGAGAGACCTTAGAAGCTGCGTTGGAATCATGGCCTCTCTAACCTTTTCTTGTTCCCCCACAGCCCTGCCCCTGCCTGTGCAGGGAGGGACTCTCTATGAAATTTCCTTATCAGACCAAAAAAGCTTCTTTCCAAAAAAAAAAAAAAAAAAAAAGCAATTGTCTTAAACGGTCTCCCTAGGGATCTTATGGGATCTTATCAAATAACCAGGAAATATTAACATCTAGAGAGACTGGGAGTCATCACCACACCAGACAAACTTTTTTTTTTTTTTGGAAAAGTGGTCTTGCTATGTTGCCCAGTCTGGAATACAGGGACCATTCATAGGTACCATCATAGTACACTATAGGCTCAAACTCCTAGGCTCACTGCCAGCACACCTGGCTAAAGACTTTTCATCTATTCTTTGAAAGGAAGCTCCAAGAGATTACATGAATAACTTTATTTGCATAATAAGACAAACTTTGTTCCTGTGCAGCTCCACCTCCTGCCTCCCAGGTCCAGGTCTCCTCTATGAAAAAGGGTAAATAACCTTCTGTCCCCCATTGGGTTATTGGATAATCATTTTCCTGTGAATCCCCCATGCTATGCATGTTAAAATAAAATTTTGTATGCCTTTTCTCCTATTAATCTGCCTTTTGTCAGTTGATTTTCAGTGAACCTTCAGAGGGTAATGGAGAAGTTTTCCCTTGATCCCTACACTTACGCAACTCTACATACTAAATTAAAATTAAATCTATTTTTTTTTTTTTTTTGAGATGGAGTCCGCTCTGCTGCCCAGGCTGGAGTGCAATGGCACAATCTCGGCTTACTGCAACCTCTGCCTCCCAGATTCAAGTGATTCTCCTGCCTCAGCCTCCCAAGTAGCTGGGATTACAGGCACCTGCCACTACGACTGGCTAATTTTTGTATTTTTAGTAGAGAGCAGATTTCACTATGTTGGCCAGGCTGGTCTGGAACTCCTGATGTCATGATCCACCCACCTCGGCCTCCCAAAGTGCTGGGATTACAGGCGTGAGCCCCCGCGCCTGGCCTTTAAATTAAATCTATTAATCTTTTTTTCTTTTTTTTTTTTTTTTGAGACAGAGTCTCATTTTGTCACCCCGGCTGGAGTGCAGTAACACAAACACAACTCACTGCAGCCTTGACCTCCTGGGCTCAAGCAATCCTTCTGCCTCAGCCTCCTAAGTAGCTGGGACTACAGGTGCATGCCACCATGCCAAGCTAATTTTTAAATTTTTTTCTAAAGATGGGATTTTGCTATGTTGCCCAGGCTAATATCTATTAAGTCTTTTCTCCTAGGATTGAAAGAGAAAACTGGAAAGATTGATGGACTTATGCTAACACAATCAAGCCTAAAAACCAGAACAGTTGTGACAAGGTTGAAGTTCATTCATCAGAAGTGAATGAGATGGAAGTATTCACCTCTATAATTTTTTTGCTCACCTTAATAATGATGACTGACCAATTAGGCTGGTCATTGACATTCATTATAAAGATGGCCATAACAGATGTTATCAGCTCCACTGAAGTAATTTAAAGAAAAAACAGTATAAGACTGGAAGTTAGGATGCCTAGGTTTAGTCTCCTGCCAAAGAGAAGGCATGTGATTTAAGGTTAATCACTCAGCCTTTCTGAGCCCATTTCCACTTCTGTGAAATTACGGTTTGGAGTAAATGACTTTCATATTTCTTATTTGGTGTCATTGTGATTCCTTTTCCAGCCATGCCTCCCAATGATGGAGCTGAGGCAGGTATTTCCCTTTCATTACATTTTTTATTACATTTTTATATCTCAAATTTATCTGGAACAGCATTTTAAACTGTTTCTTATTTTGTGCCTACTGATCATTGCATTTTAGGTTAGTCAGAATACCAGTACTGGCTTTTATGATGTGATGTTTGAAAGGATGCTTCCAAAGGAAATTTAAAGAAACTGATAATTAAATTTATCAGTTCAGAGAATAAATTAGGCAGGTTCTTTTAACAACAAAAATGATGTTCTCAACACAGTCTAAATTAATTATAAGCCAAAATGATCATATTCTAAGATTATGCATATCTAAACCATAGAATGAGACTGCTGATTTAATTAAATCAGATCAAATAAGAAGGTTTTTCTTCAATAACACATCATCGCTCAAGCTTAAAAATATTTTGAAAGTGAGAGAACACCATATTCTAACCTCATCTTTACAGAAAAGAATTTTGCTTAGGGGAACCAAACAAGTATGCTACATCTTGACTTTACAGCTGATAAGGCTGTCTTCTAAAGAAACTGAAGAAAGTGCTCTCCCTTGAAATGTTTAATGTTAATCAACCTGGTGAGGCTATTTATAAATCAGCCTTAAGGAACTAAATTGAATCAGAGCCTCCGTATAATGTCACATACCTTGTCACCTTTTACTCATTTACCTGTCAACCTTCCTTGGCTGCCACAAAGGCCAAATAAGCAAGAAGTAAAAACTTAGAGAAATGCCTTGAGACCAGAAGATTTTCTTGAGGTAGGATCAAGCAGGATGGGGGCTGAATACTGGGTCTCTGAAGCTGGCTACCTGCAGCAGCTGTGCTAGTGTCTACTGTATTGAGTACATTGCTACTGGTATGAAATCAAGGTATGGTTAGCAAGAAAGAGGAGGAAATGGCTTCTGGTTAGGCAACAAACACTGTCTTTCATACCTGTTATCCAACATACCCACAACTGATTGATTTCCTCTGAGTGAGTACCTGTTCAATCATGATTTCCAACCTTTACTCCTTTTCTTATAAGCTACAGAACCCCTAAAGAAAAAGCAATCTATGCAAAATAGAAAACAAAACAAAACAAAAAACTAACAACTTCTTTCACTTGAGCATTCTAATATGGGAGACCAGAATATGCCACCCCAAAATATAAAGGACTGTTGAGCTGAAGACAATTAAGAGGATACAGGAAAGCTCTCTGCCCTCCTTCTATAAGCCTAAAAGCAGGACATAGATTTACAAAGACAAAAGAAAGATATTCGGCCTGTGGCTCACCCCAGTCCCTCCATGCTTTCCCCAACCCTCTTCTACCAGGGAGAACAAAGGTTTAAACTTTGTTAACCACTGAAGACAATTTGTCATCCCAGAGAGGTACCAGTGGAATCTACATTTATAAGCTTTATTAACTAGAATTTGTCAACCTATTATTTACTTTTCCACAAATTTTAGCACCTAAAAACTCAAAGTCCTTTTCCTTTGTCTTGTCATGTCTCTAAAAATTTACTTTTCTTTCTTGAAGATGCTATTTAAACTGGAAGTCAAAGCCACCTCTAGGAGAACTACTTATTTTCTGGATGTCTCCCATGTAAATATAAAAAATATACATGTTAGTAAACTTCTGTCTTTTTCTTGTTCATCTGTCTTTTGTAACAGGGATCTGTTCCAACTAAGAACCTATGGTAGTTACTATTGCCCTACATGTAACTGCAATGGAATCATAAACCTCTGCAGAACAGTTTGTAAACCATTTTTCTGGTTGATCAGTTTTTCTGAAATTATGACAGCCAAAAAGAAAGATATAATTTAGGGCTAGTTTTGAAAGCACAGAATTGATCTATCAGCTTACTGTTTTATATCTGGTAGATTTTTTTTTAAACCCACTTTCTGTTCATCTACACATCAGATTAACCAAACTCTTCATTACCTTGGTAAACTTACCCATAAGGCCCACAGTGCTGAAGACCCAGGCTGGGGAGGCTATTCTCTAGTATATGCTACGTGTCTGCTCTGCCAGTCTAGTTAGTATTTATTAAGATTCAGTTGTGCTTCCCTAAGCTGTTGTACTTGTAATAATGTAGTTTGAATATTATATAAACAAAAACATGTAAAAATAAAAGTGTTATTGTTTTATGAAAATCTAGTAGACAAAAATTAACCAGAACTAATGTAAGAGCTAAAATTCTAAAATATGTAGATTAAAATGTAGGAGACAATCTTTGAGACCTTGGGATAAGCTAAAATTTCTTAGATGGGGCACAAAAAGCACAACTATAAAAGAAAAAAAGCAATAAATTGGACTTCATCAATGTGAAAAACTTTTAATATTCAAAAGAAAATGAAAAGGCAAGACATGAACTGAGAGAAAATATCTGCAACACATATACCTGATATAAGAAATACCCACAATAATAGAGAATAAATAAAGAACTCATACAACTCAATGAGAAAAGCAACTCTATTTTTAAAAAATTAATCAAAAGCATTGAACAAATTAGTAAATGGAGGGTGGATGGTTAAGACCTGGTTTCCCACTATTGGAGAGGAAAGTTACAAATCAGCAAGAAGAGAAGTCTAGAATGACCCCTGTGGTGCTGGATTACTGTTGGAGATATCAGTATGTATTGGCTTATATATACAAATGGATAGATACAGAAATGAGAGATCTCTGAATGTCAGTGAGTTGGTATACATAATTACCTAGCTCTCTCTGCTAAGAGGTCTTAAAGGTAATGATGTTTCTGTAACATTAAGTAGTCCCAGTGTCCAAATCTTGGTTTCTAAATCTTATTCTCCAAAGAACCAGGGCTCCTTGGAGAAATGGCTGATTCTAGTACTGGGACACAGAAAATATAAGATGAGCTTGGAACATCTTGTAGTGCCAGAAAGTAGGGAAGTGCTCCTTCCTTAACCCCTCCAGAAAAGGGCAGGGTCCTGTATAAGGGACACAAGAGTCAAACTAAAGAAATACCTGATGTCTAAAGTTGGAACAACTTGATCAATGAAATAAATATAGTAAAGGCATATAACCCAAAGGATAAAATAGTCATGTGTCTATACTGATATAAATCAATGACTGAATAAATAATGTAGGAAAAGAGACAAATCTTTATTACGGAATTCCAAAAAATATATGTAGATCCCTCTTCTCCAAGGGGAGGAGCTTCGTTCTTCCCATGCCTCCCTTCTGAGTGTGGGCTTGACTTAGTGATTCACTCCAAGGAATAGAGTATGGAAAGAGAAAACAGTAGCTTTACAATGGAAAAGCCTATAAACACTACCTTAACCAAGTGATGAAGATTAACATCATGGGTAATGTCATGTGAATATCATGTGCCCCCTAATATAATGCAATGAAAAAGGCACTTCATCTCTGTGTTACTCATTTCAAAACTCCATGACCCCAGCCCAACCAAAAGAAAAACATCAGACAAACACAATTTGAGGGACATTATACAAAATACCTGACTAGTACTCCTCAGAACTTTATAGGTTATGAAAAACAACTAAAGACTAAGAAACTGTCAGAAACCAGAGATGACTAAGGAGCCATGACAACTAAATGCAATGAAGTATCCTGGATGAGATCTTAGAACAGAAAAGGAAAATTAATGGAAAACCTGGTGATAGTCAAATAATGTCTGGACCTTAGTTAATCGTAATATACTAAGGTCCATTTCTTACAAATGTACTATCATAATGTATGTGTATAACAGTAAGGGAAACTAAAACTGGGTGAAGGGTCTCTGCAGTATCTTACAACTTTTGTGCAACTATAAATTATCCCAAAGTAAATAGTTGATTTTTTAAAAAAACAAACTCATAACAACCAAAAATATAATTACTCATTTAATCAATATACTACCTTAAAGCCAAAAAGTGGCAAATACTGGAAAACACTGAAAAATATTTGACGAATAGAGTAAGATATAGAAAAAAACACTATTCAAGAAAAGTCAGCTTTGGAAGCCAAAATTAAAACAGCACTCAGACTTTGTTCCCTCCCTCTTACCTCATGCAAAGGGAGAGAAACGACTCCTCCTAGTATTCAATACTCTATACGGTCAGATTTATTCTCTAGTAGTAAACTATAGAAATAATCTCCAAAAGTGGCCGGGCGCGGTGGCTCACGCCTGTAATCCCAGCACTTTGGGAGGCCGAGGCGGGCGGATCACGAGGTCAGGAGACGGAGACCGTCCTGGCTAACACGGTGAAATCCCGTCTCTACTAAAAATACAAAAAATTAGCCAGGCGTGGTTGCAGGCGCCTGTAGTCCCAGCTACTCGGGAGGCTGAGGCAGGAGAATGGCCTGAACCCGGGAGGCGGAGCTTGCAGTGAGCCGGGATCGCGCCACTGCACTCCAGCCTGGGCGACAGAGCCAGACTCCGTCTCAAAAAAAAAAAAAAAAAAAAAAAAAGAAAAAAAGAAATAATCTCCAAAAGTATAGCCTTGATCTTAACCCTACAGCCTTTGCTGGGTCCCCAGGAAAAAAATTTTGAACCGCTGGCAATTTTTTTTCAGGTCACAGGTCACTAGCTTTTGCAAATACAATCTACGAAGTATAGATTTTATTGTTCTTTCAAATGCAAATATTCCGAACACCATTTTCACTTATAAAATTTCCAGAAATTCTTCAAAATGATAATGGGCCTAATTATCAGATGGTTTTTCTTCCGACCCAATCACATGCTGTACTTGCTAGTCTGTGACTAGGGCAGAGAGAGAAATTCTCATCCCAGTTGCACCAGACAGGATTGTGTAGGAGATTGGGTTTGCAACTACAATCTGCTAAGGAATAGTAGGTGGGGCCACTAGTCAGAGCTGTCTGGAGACAAGGTTTTGTATGACTTGTGCATTCTGCAATTAAAAACAACAGAGGCTGGGCACGGTGGCTCATACCTGTGATCCCAGCACTTTGGGAGACGGAGGTGAGGGGGATTGCTTGAGCACAGGAGTTCAAGACCAGCCTGGGCAACATAGGGAGATGCCATCTCTCCAAAAAAAAAAAAAAAAAAAATATATATATATATATATATATATATATACACACACACACACACACACACACATATAAACAAAAACAACAACAAAGAGAAATAGAGAGGAAGGGAAGAAAGAGAGAAAAAGCAATATGCAATCTTAATACCATATAACCATAATTACAAACACCATTGTTTACTGAATGCATCCTCAATGTCAGTGCTAGATGTTGTATATCAGCTGTCTGGTCTGATTCTTGAAATAACTGAATGAGAAGGGTATAATTATTTTCCCCATGTTGTAGATGGTGTCTGAAAGAGATTGCATAACTTGTTCAAAGTTACATAGTCTGTATGTGGCAGAACCACAGCTGGAACTGTGGCACTAAATCAAATAATCTTTCCAGTAAGGAAAAGTGGTCTTTTTCAGAGGTCTACTCTCCATTTAAACCCATTTTTCTAATAACACATGAAACTTGTCATCATCAAAAACAAACAAAAAAAGTCAAAAGATTTGGCCACTTGATCAAAGAGTATATGCAGATGTCAAAGAATATATATATAAACAGATACATAACATTAGTCATCAAGGAACTGCAGATTAAAACCACATGAGATACAATCACACATTCACTAGAATTGCTAAAATAGAAAGGATACCATTGGCAAGAATTGATGAGGATGTAGAGCAACTGAAACGCTGGTTCATTGCTGGCGGGAATGCAAAATGGCACAACCAACTTTGAAAAATATTTTGGCAGTTCCTTAAAAGGTTAAAAACACACCTGTCATACAACCTAGCCACTTTACTTTTAAGAATATGAAAGTCCATACCAGGATTTACCCATAAATGTTCATAGTAGTTTTGTTTGTAGTAGCCCAAAACTGAAAAATATCTAAACATCTATCAGCAAATGAGTGTATAAAAGAATTGTTCTAAGTTAATACACCAGAATATTACTCTAATAAAAAAGGAATGAATTACCGATACATGCAAAAACATAGATAATCTCAAAAGCATTATGCTAAGTGAAAAAGTGGACCCAGAAGACTATATTCTTCTATTTATATAAAATTATAGAAAAGACAAAACTAGAGTTATAGAAAGCACTAGTTTCAATCAGTAGTTTCCAAGTGCTGGGTAATGAGAGAGGAGACTGTGCAAGGGTGCAGGAGAAACTTAGGTGGGGGATGGAAATGTTCTCTACCTTGATTGGAATAGTGGTTAAATAGGTGTATGCATATGTCAACATTCATGGAGTCATCCACTTAAAATTGATAATTTTAACTGTACGTAAAGTATTTCTTAAAAAAGTAAGTTACATGGTTGAAAAGACTCAATAAGCAACTAAAAAGTGGCTGTCAAAATTAGTTGCTAATTAGACAATTATAAAAGATGAGTAAATATAAAAATTCGGGAAAAATTTACACTCATTTTATTTTGCATGAATCTTTAAATTCCTAACACAATTTAGAGAAATCAGAACTGGAAGTGAGAGATGTTGTGTTATGGGTGGAAGATGAAAGAAAAATTATTCTGAACTCCATTTAATGTACTAACAAAATAAGCCTTTGGCCCTATATTACAAAATTTGGTGGGAAAATATCCACTCAGTGCTTTAAATTTATAAAATACTTAACATATATCCTAGTTTTTATGATTCCCTACCTCATCCCCTATTTCGACCAGCTATTAATCCATATCATAACAGCTAAGGGGCTTCTACTGAACCATTTTTCTCTGAGACTCTATAGCCTTCTTCTCCCCTCTACCTGGACCACTTGACTGCCACCTCTGTTGCTAGCCTTGTTAAGGTTTCTACCACCAGCAGACAGGCAAAAGAGATTAAGAAACTGCAACCCAAACCTTTAGGATGCCACAGTGTTGGCTTATTATGTCTTCCTGGCTTTTTCAGGGATCTTTAGGTTGAAAGAAAAAAACAAAAACAAAAACAGCAAAACCCCCACCGTAACCACTACTCCAGTTAGATCAAATTATGAGTAGGATTGCTAAAAGTTCAGCTGGGCCTCAAGAGAACAGGAAAATCGTCTACACAATTGGGCCTCCCAAGAACTTATCAGACAGCTTCTCTCTCTGCCTCTCACTCTTCTGTGGTCATGTGGTGTCTTGATTATCTCACCTAAAGCTGCTACATTCTCCGACTTTTCTCATGATTGGCTTTTTCTGCTTATAAAACTGCGTGTTTATGGTTGAAAATGGCCACCAGCCCTAAAGCCACATCAGCTTAGAGCTCAGTGCCCATACCTGTCTAAGTTTCTCTGTCTCATAGATCCAGTTCTTCAGAGAGAATCGAATTGAACTTGCTCGGGTTAGCTGGGTCTGGGGATCAGGGATTACTCATGTAAACAGGGCTGCTGGACAGGCAGCTTCACGGGCATGTGACCTGTGCAGTTGCCCAGGGTCCTGGGCTCAGAAGAGATCTGCACACTCAGTTTAATGTTCAGCTGTCACTATAATGAAATTCTTAATTTTGGAAGAAGGGGCGCTGCATTTTCGCTTTACACAGGGCCCCATAAATTATGGATCTGATTCTGCTGCTGGGCATAGATACGGGGCAAGACTCAGTAGTATAGGCAGATTCTCTTATAAGGAGATATTGGCAGATAGGGAATATTTGGTGTATTTATAGTCTTGGTTTTCATAGCCAGGCTTCTCTCTTTTTTGTACTCATATCCTTGCGTAGTAGTTCATTTGTCCAATAGGCAAATTAGGAACAAACTGGCTCCTAATAAGTGCTAACATCTCTTCTAGGCATTGGAAATATTTGGTGTACAAGACAGATCTAGTTTCTTCTGTCATGAACTTAGTGACAAGCCAAGTTAGTCCTAGAGTTACGACTTTGCTCAATTCCTTCTCAAAAAATTGACATTCTGCCCATAACTGTTCTTTCCTGAAGCTTTCTGTCTGCTCTAGTTATTACTCAGGCAGTGTAATTGAAAAGCATGCTGAGACCTTAGTGGCAGAGACTGGTAGGAAAAAGAAGCTGGTAATAGGATTAGTGGATTCACCAGGTTTTGGGTTTTTTTGTTTTGTTTTTTTTGCCTCACTTTAACCAAACTGAGTCCCTATAGACTAGTCAGCTGTCTAATATGGTAAGTCCAAAAGGTATAGTAAGCTTGCTTCCAGCTGTCATTAATACTCAAGTTAGTTTTATCTGATAGGAAGTGGGAGTGCAAAGCCAGGGAATAGTAAAACTCAGGCAAGCAGCAACATCATGGTTGTAGGTCCTGGATTTATTCTGTAGCAAGAACTCTAGCCAGGAGCTGAGAATATAAGAAAACAAGGCCCAGCTTTCTTTCTTTCTTTTTAAATAACTTTTCTTTTATGTTCAGGGGTACATATGCAGGTTTGTTATATAGGTAAATTGCATGTTACAGGGGTTTGGTGCACAGCTTATTTTATCATCCAGGTAATCAGCATAGTACATGATCATTTTTCAGTCCTCACTCTCCTCCCACCCTCCTCCCAGCTCAATGTTTGTTTCCTTCTTTGTGTTCTTATGTACTCAATGTTTAGCTCCCACTTATAAGTGAGATCATTCAGCATTTGGTTTTCTTTCCTTCGTTTTCTTTCCTTCCTTTCCTTTCTTTTCCTTTCTTTCTTTCTTTCTTTCTTTCTTTCTTTCTTTCTTTCTTTCTTTCTTTCTTTCTTTTCTTTCTTTCTTTCTTTCTTTCTTTCTTTCTTTCTTTCTTTCTTCTTTCTTTCTTTCCTTTCTTTCTTTTCTTCCTTCCTTCCTTCCTTTCTTTCTCTTTCTTTCTTTTCTTTCTTTCTTTCTTTCTTGACAGAGTTTCATTCTGTCGCCCAGGCTGAAGTGCAATAGTGCGATTTCAGCTCAATGCAACCTCCACCTCCCGCATTCAAGCAATTCCCATGCCTCAGCCTCCTGAGTAGCTGGGATTACAGGTGCCTGCCACCATGCCAGGCTAATTTTTGTATTTTTAGTGGAGATGGGGTTTCACCTTCACCATGTTCCCCAGACTGATCTTGAACTCCTGACTTCAAGTGATCCCATCTGTCTCGGCCTCCCAAAGTGTTGGGATTACAGGCGTGAGCCACCGCACCCAGCCAATATTTGGTTTTCTGTTCTTGTGTTAGTTTGCTTAGGATAATGGCTTCCAGCTCCATCCATGTTGCTGCAAAGGACCTGATCTCATTGTTTTATGGCTAATACTCCATGGTGTTTATGTACCACATTTTCTTTATCCGGTCTACCGTTGATGGGCATTTATATTGATTCCATGTCTTTGCTATTGTGAATAGTGCTGCAATGAACATACACATGCATGTGTCTTTATGGTAGAATGGGTTTATACCCAATAATGAGATTGCTGGGTCAAATGGTAATTCTCTTTTAAGTTCTTTGAGAAATCACCAAACTGCTTTCCACAATGGCTAAACTAATTTACATTCCCACCAGCCATGTGTAAGTGTTCCCGTTTCTCTACAACCTCACCAACATCTGTTATTTTCTGACTTTTTAGTGATAGCCATTCTTACTGGTGTGAGATGATGTCTCCTTGTGGTTTTGATTTGCATTTCTCTAATTATTAGCTATGTTGAGCCTTTTTTTTCATATTCTTCTTGGCCACATGCATGTCTTCTTTTGAAAAGGGTCTGTTCATGTCCTTTGCCCACTTTTTAATATGTTGGTTTGTGGTTTTTTTGTTGTTTTTTTTTTTCTGAGATGGAGTCTTGCTCTGTCACCCAGGCTGGAGTGCAGTGGCGCAATCTCGGCTCACTGCAACCTCCGCTTCCCAGGTTCATGCCATTCTTCTGCCTCAGCCTCCCAAGTAGCTGGAACTACAGGCGCCTGCCACCACGCCCGGCTAATTTTTTATATTTTTAGTACAGATGGGATTTCACCACGTTAGCCAGGATGGTCTCGATCTCCTGACCACATGATCCCCCGCCTCGGCCTCCCAAAGTGCTGGGATTATGGGCGTGAGCCACCGCGCCCGGCTTGTTTGTGTTTTTTTGCTTATTGATTTGCTTAATTTCCTTATAAATTCTGGATATTAGATCTTTGTAGGATGCAAATATTTTCTCCCACTCTGTAGGCTGCCTGTTTACTCTGCTGATAGTTTCTTTTGCTGTGCAGATGTTCTTTAGTTTAATTAGGTCCCATTTATCAATTTTTGGTTTTTTTGCAATTGCTTTTGGAGTCTTCATCATGGAATCTTTACTAGGTCCTATGTCTGGAATGGTATTTCCTATCTTCCAGAGTTTTCGTAGTTTTAGGTTTTACATTTAAGTCTTTAATCCATCTTGAGTTGATTTTTGTATATGGTGTAAGTAAGGGGTCCAGTTTCAATCTTCTGCATGTAACTGTCCAGTTGTCCCAGCACCATTTACTGAGTAAGGAGTTCTTTCCCCATTGCTTGTTATTGTCAGCTGTATTGAAGGGTTTTGCCATGTTGCCCAGGCTGGTCTCAAACTCCTGAGCTTAGGTGACCCGCCCACCTTGGCCTCCCAAAGTACTGGGATTGCAGGCATGAGACACGGCACGCAGCCTCTTCTAGGATTTGTATAGTTTGAGGTCTTACATTTAAGTATTTAATCCATCTTGAGTTAATTGTTGTATATAGTGAGAGGTAGGGGTCCAGTTTCATTCATTTGCATATGGTTAGCCAATTTTCCCAGCACAATTTATTGAATATCCTTTTCTCATTGTTTATTTTTATTGGCTTTGTTGAAAATCAGTTGGTTGTATGTGTCTTTATTTTAGGGTTCTCTATTCTGTTCCAGTTGTCTAATTTTTTAATGGAATCTTTTAAAGAGCAAAAGGTTTTAATATTGATGAAGTTTAATTTATGAATTTTTTTCTTTGATAATTAGTGTTATTTTTCTACTGTTTATGAAATTGCAGAGGCCAAAGCAACACCATCTTGAAAGCTAATCCGCCATGTTGACTTCTGACCAACCCTTGTTCCAGGAATGCCTCTGAGATTTCTAGTTTATCTATTGTTCCTTGTTTAAGATCATGCATTTACTGTATGTAAATCCTGCTTGTAGAGCAAATCAATCTTGACAAACTTGTACTTACCATAAATCCTGCCCCGGGGGAAATTCCTACCCAAGCACCTGTGCCCCTTCATTATGGTATATAATTCCTGAGTGTGGGGGACAATAGTGAGAGAGGAGAAAGGAAGAAACTGGTCAGGCAGACAGTTACGGTGGGTCCTTGATTGAATTCTTGCAGACAAAAAAACAGCCTGCAGGCACAGATAAGGGAACTTGCACAGGGGGGCTTGCCTAAGACATGCCCACAGCCACACAGATAAGAAAGGCTATACAGGGGACTTGCCCAGTCATGCCTGCAATGAAAAATTCTGTCCCCTGGCACATGCACAGTAAAGGGAACAAAGCAACATGGAGTAACTCAAGCTAAGGGCCCACATGCTCGTTAGGAGGATGGGGTGGAAATACCAGAAATCCACCCCTTATGCAAATAAGATGCCCGGCCCTCATTGGTTTCTTATAAAAGCCTTTACATTCAACTGCAAAAATGGCAACACTTTTCCAGGTACCCTGTCCACAGCAGAGAGCTTTCTTCTTTCACTTACTAAACTTTTGCTCCAACCTCACCCTTGGTACCTGCATTCCTTAACTTTCTTGGTCATGAGACAAAGGACTCTGGGTACTACCTCAGACAATGAGAGATTGCTACATTGTGGTACATTGGCGAAACTGTAACTATAGTGTAGGAATCCACCATCTTGTCTTGCCACTGCCTGAGAAACAAACATGGATTCTGTTCATAAGTTCCTATTAAACGTTTCTTTCTGAGAAACTGCATTCATCAGTCTCTTTCTTTGGCCTCTCAGCTTCCTTTTACTTTGGGATAGGTTTGCATAGGCCTGCCCACTGTGAAACAGAAATGTTTATGTACTTTCAGCTCATAAATATTTTGTTTTCTTTTAGAATTTTAATAGTTTCACCTTTACACATTGTTCATGTATTTCAAGTTCATTCTTGTGTAGATAAGGTCAGGGTCAAAGTTCCTTTTTCCCCCTGTATGTATAGGTAATTGTTTCAGCACCATCATTGAATAAAAATAATAAAAAATAGTAAGTGTAGGCTTTTCATTATGAATTCAATTTTGGAACTTATTATTGGTTTGTTCAGGGATTCAACTTCTACCTGGTTCAATCTTGGGATGCTGAATATTTCCATGAATTTGTCCATTTCTTCAAGGTTTTCTAGCTTGTTTGCACAGAGGTGTTTGTAGTTTTCATGCGCGTCCCTGTGAAGAGACCACCAAACAGGCTTTGTGTGAGCAACATGGCTGTTTATTTCACCTGGGTGCAGGTGGGCTGAGTCCGAAAAGAGAGTTAGGAAGGGAGATAGGGGTGGGGCCATTTTATAGGATTTGGGAAGGTAATGGAAAATTACAGTCAAAGGGGGTTGTTCTCTGGTGGGCAGGGGTGGATCTCACAAAGTACATTCTCAAGGGTGGGGAGAATTGCAAAGAACCTTCTTAAGGGTGGGGGAGACTACAAAGTACCTTCTTAAGGGTGGGGGAGATTACAAAGTACATTGATCAGTTAGGGTGGGGCAGGAACAAATCACAATGGTGGAGTGTCATCATTTAAGGCTGTTTTTACTTCTTTTGTGGATCTTCAGTTACTTCAGTCCATCTGGATGTATACGTGCAAGTCACAGGGGATGCGATGGCCTGGCCTGGGCTCAGAGGCCTCACATTCCTGCCTTCTTATATTAATAAGACAAATAAAACAAAATAGTGTTGAAGTGTTGGAGCGGCGAAAATTTTTGGGGGGTGGTAAGGAGAGAGAATGGGCGATGTTTCTCAGGGCTGCTTCAAGCGGGATTAGGGGCGGCGTGGGAACCTAGAGTGGGAGAGATTAAGCTGAAGGGAGGTCTTGTGGTAAGGGGTGATATTGTGGGGTTGTTAGAAGAAACATTTGTTGTGTAGAATTATTGGTGATGGCCTGGATATGGTTTTGTATGAATTGAAAAACTAAATGGAATAAGAGAAGGAGAAAAACAGGTATAAAAGGTCTAAGAATTGAGACGACTCAGGACATCTGATTAGAGAGTGCCTAAGGAGATTCAGCATAGCCCTGCCAGCAAAGATTATTTATTTACTTCAAGAGTTAAGAATGGCAGTTTGGGGATAGCACGAGGCAAGCGTGATCAGGGTGAGGAACAGGAAAGCAGGAAATATGGGGAAATGGGGTGAATATCAGGTGGATCAGAGAGATACAGTCATGAGGGTCAGGTGTGGTATCCGGAATAATGTGGGAGGCCGGATTGAAGTCCGGGCCAGGAACAATGGTAATTGCGGGAGACTCAACAAAGAGTGAGTACAGCTGAAGGAGCCGGGGAGCAGAAAGTATATGCGTCAGGTGTGAGGAAGAAAATAGATTTTGGAAATTATGAGAGCTGTAGAGAGTGAGTTGAGCATAGTTTGTGATTTTTAGGGCCTCTAACAGTATTAAAGCAGTGGCAGCCGCTGCACGCAGACGTGAGGGCTAGGCTAAAACAGTAAGGTCAAGTTGTTTGGACAGAAAGGTTACACGGTGTGGTCCTGGCTCTTGTGTAAGAATTCTGACCGCGCTAACCATGCCTAGGAAGGAAAGGAGTTGTTATTTTGTAAGGGATTGAGGTTTGGGAGATTAATCAGACACGATCAGCAGGGAGAGCAAGTGTGTTTTTATGAGAATTATGCCGAGATAGGTAACAGATGAGGATGAAATTGGGGCTTGACTGAAATAATAGGGGCTGTCTGTGAAGACTTGCGGCAGTACAGCCCAGGTAATTTGCTGAGCCTAATGGGTGTCAGGGTCAGTCTAAGTGAAGGCAAGAGAGGCTGGGATGAAGGGTGCAAAGGAATAGTAAATAAAGCATGTTTGAGATCCAGAACAGAATAATGGGTAGTAGAGGGAGGTATTGAGGATAGGAGAGTATATGGGTTTGGCACCATGGGGTGGATAGGCAAAACAATTTGGTTGATAAGGAGCAGATCCTGAACTAACTTGTAAGGCTTGTCTGGTTTTAGGACAGGTAAAATGGGGGAATTGTAAGGAGAGTTTATAGGCTTTAAAAGGCCATGCTGTAGCAGGTGAGTGATAACAGGCTTTAATCTTTTTAAAGCGTGCTGCGGGATGGGATATTGGCATTGAGCAGGGTAAGGGTGATTAGGTTTTAGTGAGATGGTAAGGGGTGCATGATCAGTCGCCAAGGAGGGAGTAGAGGTATCTTATACTTGTGAGCTAAGGTGGGGAGATACAAGGGGAGGATGTGAAGGAGTCTTTGAACTGGGGGAAAAGGCAGCAATGAGGTGTGGCTGTAGCCCAGGAATAGTCAGGGAAGCAGATAATTTAGTTAAAGTGTCTCGGCCTAATAAGGGAACTGGGCAGATGGGGATAACTAAAAAGGAGTGCTTAAAAGAGTATTGTCTAAGTTGGCACCAGAGTTGGGGAGTTTTAAGAGGTTTAGAAGCCTGGCTGTCAATACCCACAACAGTTATGGAGGCAAGGGAAACAGGCCCTTGAAAAGAAGGTAATGTGGAGCGGGTAGCCTCCGTATTGATTAAGAAGGGGACGGGCTTACCTTCCACTGTGAGAGTTACCCGAAGCTCGGCGTCCGTGATGGTCCAGGGGGCTTCCGAGGCGATCGGGCAGTGTCAGTCTTCAGCCGCTAAGCCGAGAAGATCTGGGAAGGAGTCAGTCAGAGAGCCTTGGGCCAGAGTTCCAGGGGCTCTGGGAGTGGCTGCCAGGTGAGTTGAACAGTCTGATTTTCAGTGGGGTCCCACACAGATGGGACGCGGCTTAGGAGGAATCCCGGGCTGCGGGCATTCCTTGGCCCAGTGGCCAGATTTCCGGCACGCGTAGCAAGCTCCTGGGGGAGGAGGTTCTGGAGGAACGCCTGGCCGCTGCGGTTCGGGCATTTGGAAGTTCTTGTGTGCTGGAGATGTGGCTGGGGTTTGTCTCACAGTGGAGGCAAGGAATTGCAACTTTTTTCTATTATTGTACACCTTGAAGGCGAGGTTAATTAAATGCTGTTGTGGGGTTTGAGGGCCGGAATTTAATTTTTTGGAGTTTTATTTAATGTTGGGAGCAGATTGGGTAATAAAATGTATATTGAGGATAAGATGGCCTTTTGACCTTTTAGGGTCTAGGGCTGTAAAGCGTCTCAGGGTTGCTGCCGAACAAGCCATGAACTGGGCCGGGTTTTTATATTTGATGAAAAAGAGCCTAAACGCTTCTGATTTGGGATAAAGAAAAAGGAGCATTAACCTTGACTATGCCTTTGGCTCCAGCCACCTTTTTAAGAGTAAATTGCTGGGCAGGTGGGGGAGGGCTAGTCACGGAATGAAACTGTAAGCCTGACCAGGTGTGAGAAGGGGAGGCGATAAAAAGATTACAGGGTGCAGGAGCGGAGGCTGAGGAAGAATTGGGACCTAGCTTGGGCTGGCGAGGATGGGAGAGGTCAGATGGGTCTGTAGAAAAGGAAGATGAGAAAGACTCAGCGACGCTTGGGGTTGGGACTGAGGGGACAGGCGGGAGGGAAAGAAAGAAGATTTGGGATGAGTTGCACTGGGCACGGAGACTAGGAAGGGACTGATGTGTAAAGGAATGCCTGGACTTCAGGCACCTCAGACCATTTGCCCATTTTACGACAAGAATTATTTAGATCTTGCAGGATGGAAAAATTGAAAGTGCCATTTTCTGGCTATTTGGAACTACTGTCGAGCTTGTATTGGAGTCAAGCGGCATTGCAGAAGAAAATAAGGCATTTAGGTTTTAGGTCAGGTGTGAGTTGAAGAGGTTTTAAGTTTTTGAGAACACAGGCTAAGGGAGAAGAAGGAGGAATGGAAGGTGGAAGCTTACCCATAGTGAAGGAGGCAAGCCCAGAAAAAAGAGTAGAGATACGGAGAATGGGGGCGGGGGGGTTCTTGCCCTCCAGAAAAGCAGAGAAGGGGTTGGGGCACGGAAATAAGGGATTGCAGCACAGAGATAAGAGGTCAGGGTGCGGAAATAAGGGATTGGGGCTCAGAGATAAGAGGTTGGGGTGTGGAAATAAGTGATTGGGGATTTCTTGCCCCCTAGGAAAGCGGGACTTGCCGCTGAGGGTGAAGGAGAAGGGGTTGAGGGGTACATGCCCCTGCCCCAGGAAAGCGGGACTTGCCGCTGAGGGTGAAGGAGAAAGGGTTGAGGGGTACTTGCCCCTGCCCCAGGAAAGCGGGACTTGCCGCTGAGGGTGAAGGAGAAGGGGTTGAGGGGTACTTGCCCCTGCCCCAGGAAAGCGGGACTTGCCGCTGAGGGTGAAGGAGAAGGGGTTGAGGGGTACTTGCCCCTGCCCCAGGAAAGCGGGACTTGTCGCTAAGGCTGAAGGACCAAGGCAGGCGTCCCTGCGTGGTCTGACACCCTTGAAACGTGAGTGTATAATCAGAGAGGCGTCCCTGCAATGATTAAACACCAAGGGAAGGCTGCCTTCCCAGTCCGTGACCGGCGCTGGAGTTTTGGGTTCACGGATAAAACATGTCTCTTTTGTCTCTACCAGAAAATGAAAGGAATTGAAATTAAGAGAAGTGAGAGATTGAAGTGTGGCGCCAAGATTGAAAGGAGAAAGAGGTTAAGGGATAGTGAGGGAGGTTGGAGAAGAGAATAAAAAGAGGCCACTTACCGGATTTGAAATTGGTGAGATGTTTCTTGGGCTGGTCGGTCTGAGGACCTGAGGTCGTAGGTGGATCTTTCTCACGGAGCAAAGAGCTGGAGGACAGGGGATTGATCTCCCAAGGGAGGTCCCCCGATCCGAGTCATGGCACCAAATTTCATACGCGTCCGTGTGAAGAGACCACCAAACAGGCTTTGTGTGTGCAACATGGCTGTTTATTTCACCTGGGTGCAGGCGGGCTGAGTCCGAAAAGAGAGTCAGGAAGGGAGATAGGGGTGGGGCCATTTTATAGGATTTGGGAAGGTAATGGAAAATTACAGTCAAAGGGGGTTGTTCTCTAGTGGGCAGGGGTGGATCTCACAAAGTACATTCTCAAGGGTGGGGAGAATTGCAAAGAACCTTCTTAAGGGTGGGGGAGATTACAAAGTACATTGATCAGTTAGGGTGGGGCAGGAACAAATCACAATGGTGGAGTGTCATCATTTAAGGCTGTTTTTACTTCTTTTGTGGATCTTCAGTTACTTCAGTCCATCTGGATGTATACGTGCAAGTCACAGGGGATGCGATGGCCTGGCCTGGGCTCAGAGGCCTGACAGTAGTAGTTGCTGATGGTTTTTTGTATTTCTGTGTTGTGAGTGGTAACATCCCTTTTGTCATTTCTGATTGTGCTTATTTGAACCATCTCTCTTTTTTTCTTTATTAGTCTAGGTAGCGTTTTATTTATCTTATTACATCTTTCAAATAACCAACTCCTGGATTTATCTTTTGTATGGTTTTTGGCATATCAATTTCCTTCCTTTCCTTTGGAGGTTGGGAGAAAGAAGAACCTATTATAGAAAATGTTAAAGAGCATTTTAAAAGTTTAACCTACTTCATAATTTAGTATAAGACATCCGTAGTACTCACTCATTGTTTTTTATAATACTGCCTTTAATCACAATTCTGTTACAATTCATTTTTTTGAAGGTAATATTTTCCAAAAAATTAAAAATAAACTTTACTGAGGAATAATTTACATATGCTAAAATGCAACAACTATATGCATACACTTCAAAGCATTTTGACAAATGAATATGCCTATGTAACCAGTAACATAAGATACAGAATATTTCTATCACCCTGTGTCCCTTCTCATTCGATATACTTCACCCCTGACCTTAGGCAACTGCTGGTCTGCTTTCTGTCACTATAGATTAGTTTTGCCTGCCTTAGAATTTTATATTTATGAAAGCACATAGTGTGTAATCTTTTGTCTGGTTTATTTTACTCAATATGTTTTTAAAATTCATCTGTGTTGTTGCATAGCTTATTTCTTTTTATTGCTGAATAATATTCCATTGCATGGATTTAGAATAATTTGTTTATCTAGTCGATAAGGCATTTGGGTCTTTTCTAGTTGTGGGCTTTTACTGATAAAGTTGCTATGCATATTCATATACAATCCTTTGTGTGGACATGTTTTCATTTCCTTTGGGTAAATACCTAGAAGTGGGATTACTGGATTGTATGGTTAGTATGTGTTTAACAGTATAAAAAACTGCCAATTGTCCAATGTGGTTTGCTATTTTAAATTACAGTATATGAGTGTTCCAGTTGCTTTGTTTTCTTGTCAACATGCTGTATTATCAGTATTTCTAATTTTAGCCATTCTAATAGGCATTGGGTAGCATTTCACTGTGGTTTCAGTTTATACTTCCCTGATGACTGATGTTGAAGATCTTGATCTTTTTGTGTGTGCATTGGTTGTTAATATATATTTTTTTGAAGTATCTATTTACAACTTTTGCCCATTAATTTTTTTTTTTCTCGGTGTTTTTTAGTTGTAAGAATTCTCTATATATTTTGGATACAAGTCTTTTGTCTGGTCTAGGTATAGTGAATGTTTCCTTCCTTCCGCCCTTCCTTCCATCCTTCCTTCCTTCCTTGTCATCTTTCTTTTCTTTCTTTCTTTTCTTTTATTATTTTTTTTTGACGCAGTCTCACTCTGTCACCCAGGCAGAGTGCAGTGGTTTGATCTCAGCTCACTGCAACCTCTGCCTCCAGGGTTCAAATGACTCTCGTGACTCAGCCACTTGAGTAGATGGAATTACAGGCATGCCACTATGCCTGGCTAATTTTTGTATTTTGGGCAGAGACAGGGTTTTGCCTTGCCATGTTGGCCAGGCTGATCTTAAACTCCTGGCCTCAAGTAATTCACTCGCCTCAGCCTCCCAAAGTGCTGGGATTACAGGTGTGAGCCACCGTGCCCTGCTGTATAGTGAATATTTTCTACCAGTCTGTGTCTTATTCTTTTAATGTTTAAATAGACTCTTTTATTTATTTGAAATTTAAGGATTTTATTTTATTTATTATTAATAATTATTAAATTATTATTGATTTATTTTATTTATTTGAAATTTAAGGATTATATGTGCAGGTTTGTTACATGGGTATATTGCATGATGCTGAGGTTTGAACTTCTATTGATCCCATCACCCAAGTAGTGAATATAGTACCCAATAGGTAGTTTTTCAATTCTTCCCCACTTTTGGAATCCCCAGTGTCTTTCATTCCCACCTTTGTGTCCATGCGTACCCAGTGTTTAGCTCCCACTTATAAGTGAAAACATGTGATATTTGGTTCTCTGTTTCTGTGTTAATTATCTGAGGATAATGGCCTCCAACTGCATCCATGTTGCTGCAAAGAACATGATTTCATTTTTTATGGCTGCGTAGTATTCCATGGTGCATATGTATCACATTTTCTTTATCCAATCCACTGTTGATGAGCACCTAGGTTGACTGCATGTCCTGACCTTAGAGCAAATGCCTACCCATCCTGTCTCAAACATATGTGCCCCCTGTCACTATGGTATATAATCTCTGAGTATGGGGGATAATAGTGTGGGAAATAAAATTTTAATTTTAATGACCTCCAGTTTATCAATCCTTCTTTCATGAATCAGGCCTTTGGTGTCATATCTAAAAAGTCATTGCCAAACTCAAAATCATCTAGATATTCACCTGTTATCCTCTAGGAGTTTTACATTTTACTTTTAGGCCTGTGATCTATTTTGAGTTAATTTTTTTGAAATGTGCCAAGTCCGCATCTAGTTTCATTTTTTTTTTTAATGTGAAGGTCCAATTTTTTTCAGCACCACTTGTTGAAAAGATTATCTTTTCTTCAATGTGTTGCCTTTGCTCTTCTGTCAAAGATCAGTTGACTATATTTAAGTAGGTCTATTTCTGGGCTTTCTCCTCTGTTCCATTGATCAACTTGTCTATTCTTTTGCCAATACCACATTGTCTTGATTATTGTAGCTTTATAGTATGTTAAGAAGTTGGGTAGTGTCAGTTGGCTTTGTTCTTCTCCTTCAATATTATGTTGGCTATTCTGGGTCTTTTGCCTCTCCACATAAACTTGCCTCTCCATATAAATAAATAAATAAATAAATAAATAAATATATAAATATATATATAAATAAATAATAAGTTTATTTATTATTTATTGACTAGGGTCTCACTCTGTCCCCCAGGCTGGAGTGCAGTTGCATGATCATAGCTCACAGCATGTGGGAAAGTGGTGAACATCTGTTGTTTTTATCTATTCAGCATTTACTTGTTCTTCTTTTGATAGCAGCATTTTCTTTTTCCTTTGGGGAACCACTATCCTCTTACCCTCAGTCTACGTGGTTAGTGTAGAGGTGACCCACCCTTAGCTCCAAGGAATGGCAAATAACTAGATTTAGCAACTCAGTGTACCCCATACTCTTGGTCACCATGCTAATCCCATGATGGTATAGTGTTTAATCTTTAGTTACATGTTGGTTTAATGAGACTCAATCCTGGAGTTTTATAGGGACAATTGAAAAATAAAATTACTTTTTCCTCTAGAGTTGTCATGCTGGCAGAGATGTGAGTTTGGAGCTGCTGGTGAGCCATCTTGATATCATAAGGGGAAAGTCTGCCTGGAAGCACAATCAACAAAGAAAAAGATAGAACCATGAGTTGGAAAGATGGAGAAATTAAGTACCAATGACAGTTTTTAAGCTCCCCGATCTAGTTATGGCTAAAGCCAACTTTGCTTTTCAATTATATGAGACAACACATTTTTTTCTTAAGCTAGTTGGTCTTAGTTTTCTTCACAAGCTAAGAATTTTTAGTAAGGTAAGAATTTTGGCTGTGCGCGGTGGCTCACACCTGTAATCCCAGCACTTTGGGAGGCCGAGGTGGGCGGATCACAAGGTTAGGAGATTGAGACCATCCTGCCCAACATGGTGAAACCCCGTCTCTACTAAAAATACAAAACTTAGCTGGGTGTGGTGGCACACGCCTGCAGTCCCAGCTACTTGGGAGGCTGAGGCAGGAGAATGGCGTGAACCCATGGAGGCAGAGCTTGCAGTTGTCACCGCACTCCAGCCTGGTGACAGAGCGAGACTCCATCTCAAAAAAAAAAAAAAAAAAAAAAAGAATTTTATGAGCACAGAAATATGGGTCAATACTTGTCCCTTTTGAAAAAATTTCCTGAGATAACTTGAAGCTCACATCTAAACCTTTTATATTTGTAGTTGTGGGGGAGGAAAGACTTTTACTCTATTCTCTTAGGTTCTGTTGCTGTGACCTGTAAATTGGACTGACAAAAGGCAGATTAATAGGAGAAAAAGCATACAGATTTTGTTTGATGTTAATATTTTTATGTGGTGCTGGGGGCTTCATAGAAAGAAGTGAAAATTCTAAGGAAGCCGTTAGGCCCAGGGTCTTCTATATCATTCTCACAAAGAGCAATAAATAATGGAGACATGACAAAGCAAAGGAAAAAGAGGTTTGGGCTAAGGGTGGGGAAGTGTGGGAAAGTAACTAGAAAATATATGGGGAAACTAATGGATGATAGGAACTATTTTATTCATAGTAAGGCTTGCCTTTGGTGATAAGAATGTTCTCCTCCTCCTATAGGAGGTCACCTTTCTCATGGGAAATGTATGCCTTGCCTTAAGGTAGAAAGGGGAAAGACAGAGACTCCTCCCTGCTGCTGTTTCTCAATGGCTTTCAGCTCAAAATAATAAATATGCCAAAGTGCCAAAGTGGTATATTTTGGGGTGACATGTTCTGATCCTCTTCACAGTCTATTTCCTCTTTTCTCAAAAGGAACTGTAGAAAACATTGCTCCCTCGAGACTCCGTCTCAAAAAAAAAAAAAAAGGAAAACATTGTTCCCTAATAGTAGTTTCTGTTCAATGTTTACTTACTCACATCATAGAATAAAAGGTTGCAGTATAAATTAGGTGATTATGACTTTCTAACAGAGGAAACTAAAGTCACTTAGGCTTTTAAAATTCCTATTCACTTCATAGTTCATTAGATTTCATTAGGCACACACACACCTACACACATTACAGAAGGAAACTAAAATATTTCAGATGTATGTATGTATGTATGTATTATTTATTTTTGAGATGCAGTCTTGCTTTGTTGCCCAGGCTGGAGTGCGGTGGCGCGATCCTGGCTTACTGCAACCTCTGCCTCCCCAGTTCAGTTCAAGCAATTCTCTTGGCTCAGCTACCCTAGTAGCTGGGACTACAGGTGAGTGCAACCACGCCCAGCTAATTTTTGTATTTTTAGTAGAAACGGGGTTAGCCAGGCTGGTCTTGAACTCCTGACCTCAGGTGATCTGCCCACCTCGGCCTGCCAAAGTGCTGGGATTACAGGTGTGAGCCAACGTGCCTGACCCTGGATAGTTTTAATAGTAGAGTCAATCTATGTCCATTTACTAGTCAATCCTCTTTCATGTACATAATTATTTCTAAGGACAAAAACAAACAAACAAAAAAACCCACCCTCATTCCAAACATCTGTATATTTACCATATAATCCTCCTACTGGATTTGCTCTGGATTTAATTTTCAAAGGCTCCGAAGTCTTTAACCGAAGCTTAAAAAACAAATAGACTTTAGGTATCTAGGCTTTATTCTGAATTCTATGCCTCCTAAGTTTTTAAGACTTAACAAGAACCATTTCACTTTCCAATATTCACTTTAAAAATGTTTTCCCATACTTTTTCTGACTGCTATATGTTTACATATAGCAGTTTGTTTACAAAATATATGTTTACAAAATATCAGAGTGGTTTGTCTAATGTTATTTGCAAAGAAGTGACTTCCTGGAGCTGTCATTAACTATACTATGTCTCCCTCCCCCAAATCCCAGGATAATCCCCTCTGAAGGCTTGGTAGACTTTACAGAATTATTATGAAATCCTGAGTGCTCTTCAGGCTTTGAATCACAGAAATTGCTTTTCCAGTATTATAAGTTATCTGTGATCATTTTACTGCGATGTCCTCTGAAATACTCAAGAAGACAAAGTCAATATGGCTGAATTTGGCACTGAATTTGCTCTATGACCCTGCAGTCTCTTGGGTCTCTGAATGGTGCCGGCATTACCAGGAGAGATGGGATGTGTGAGTAGGCCCATACAACAATTAGAGGAACTCTAGACAGTTCCTACAGAGTTGCTCTCTGTAGAGGCCCATATAGAGTCATCACTAATCATTAGCAAGTTAGCGAGGAATTACTTTATTCCAGAGCTAATGCCTCAGAGCGCAGTACTACAGAAATAGGATTTTGATGTGAGGGGAGGTAGGAAGTGTCATTTTGATGCCCTGGGTGCTGCCCAAATCTACAGAATGCAATGAAAGGCAGTGCTACACACCATGGGAGTATGAATTACAATGGAAGAGGAGAAAGGAGGGAGGCACAAAAAGAGGTAGAAGGGCACCAAATTCATATCAGTTTGTTTGTCTTATAGTTTTGCTGAACAGTGGCTGTGTTTCAGAGTTAAACTGTTCAGAAAAGGGTTAGAGAAAAATACTCTGAGCTTATTCCCCTCCCCACTTTGATACCTATTTTGAATATTCTTTTTTTAATGGTCTCATCTGAGTTTGCCTAACTCCTATATATACAGAAGCAGCATCATATTGAGACTTGTTATAAAGTAGATCAGTGAAAAAAAGTAAACCAAAATGTTCACATATTAGGTCAAAACATTTATATTGCTCTCATGAAGTAAACTGGTAATTTTCTTATTATTTAAATGAAACCTATGACTATAAGACATTCTAAGAAACAGTCTTCCTTATAGCCTCAGATAATGACTTCTCTGATTGCTAGATCTCTATTAGCAGGACAAAAACGAATTATAGCTGTCTGATTGGTGTTATTTGGGAAAAGTAATTGTCCAAAAAAAGAGAATATGCAGATAGGCTCGTTTAATAATTTGTATATCATTTGCCCTTTGGGTGGTAGTTATTAACACATAAATTAACTCACAAAGCATATTCTCTGGAACAATTACATAAAATATAACCAAGCTCATAAAATCTCTCTCCATACACTAGAATTTCCCATGATTCAAAATGGAAAAAGAACTCAAGATTCTGAAAACATGTAAGACTGCCTCACTGTGCCATAGAATTTTGAGTCATTTCCAATAAAAGATTTTCTTTAATGTTGGGCAGAAATGTCTTGCCAAATAGGTCAGCAGAAGGTAGAGAATACAAGTTTTGGGATATCTGCCTAGGCATGCCAAGGCTGTTCAGTTATTTAATACTCTCACGTTCTACATGTAGCTTCAATGACCAGGATGCAGATTCTGAAAACAAACAAACAAACAAACAAACAAACAAATAAGTACTTGAGAATAATGTTCAATCTGTTACTAGAAAGGAGTCCCGATCCAGACCCCAAGAGAGGGTTTTGGATCTCGTGTGAGAAAGAATTCAGGGCAAGTCCATACAGTAAAGTGAAAGCAAGTTTATTAGGAAAGTGAAGGAATAAAGGAATGGTTACTCCATAGGCAGAGCAGACCCAAAGGCTGCTGGTTGCCCATTTTTATAATTATTTCTTGACCATATGCTAAGCAAGGGTTGGATTATTCATGCCTCCTCCTTTTAGACCATGTAGGGTAACTTCCTGACGTTGCCATGGCATTTCTAATTGTCATGGCACTGATGGGAGTATAGCAGTGAGGACGACCAGAGGCCACTCTCATCACCGTCTTTGGTGGGTTTTAGCCAACTTCTTTACTACAACCTCTTTTATCAGCACCCTCTTTTATCAACCTCTTTATGACCTGTATCTTGTGCTGACCTCCTATCTCATTCTGTGACTTAGAATGCCTTACCTCCTGGGAATGCGGACCAGCAGGTCTTAGCTTTATTTTACCCAGCCCCTATTCAAGATGGAGTTGCTGTGTTCAAACACCTCTGACAAATCTACGAGAATAAAGCCCAGAAATCATTGCAGCAATTTTTGTCATCTAGTCTCAAAAATTCTGTTGCAACCCAGGAAGTGGATCATGCCAAAAAGGCTCTGAATAGAGGATTTAAGGCTATTGTAGTATTTCTGAAAACATTGATAAATGGCTATGAACATTAGATGGTAATTGAGTCATCAATGAAGATATTAATATTAATATTTTTCACAAGATCCTTTTTTCAGATTAATGAGATCCCTCCCTTAATTTATTTATATTTGGAGGGGGTGGTCCCAAAATACAGAAAATGTAATGAATATCTGTGATAAATGCTCACCACCAAAATGAACAAACGACTTTTATTTTCTTCAGATTTTCTTTTCTTTTTAAAATACTGTGTGTTTTCTTAACCAGGCCCATTCTTTTCCCTTTTCCTGAAGTTTGGCATCATCTGGTGTACGCATCCCAATTATATTTTTGTATTTGTACTCTATTTATTTTATGCATTTTAATGTAGTTTTGTAATATTCTCCATAAATGTCGTGACCAATATTTTAAATAATTGTGTTACATTTTCTAATAATTATTGCTGTTAAGTATGGCATTGTTTTTTGACAATTGATCTTAGATTTGGTAATCTTCTGCAGTCACTTAATTTTACAAGTTATCTGAAGGCTTTTTAGATTTCTTCTAGGAAGTCAATTATATAGTCTACTGATGAAAATTTCCTCTCTTCTTTTCAATCCTTATACCTTATATCTCTTTTTTTCTCTTATTATTCCTTTGGTTAGGAATGCCAGTACAATATTGGAAAGTAAAATGATTGCGGGTATCTATGTTTTATTTCTTATTTTAATATAAACACTTCTGAAGTTTCACCATTTTGACTAACACTTCCTGTCACTGCTTAGTAGATTCATTTGATTAGGTAGGTGAAGTTGCCGTCTATACACATTTTTTGAGTTGGTTTTTCTGCTTTTCTGCTTTATTGAGAGGAGCATATGGCATTTCTCTATCAATCTCTCTCTCTATCTCTCTCTCTTTTTTTTTTTTTTTTTGAGACTGAGTCTTGCTCTGTCGTCAGGCTGGAGTGCAATGGTGTGATCTTGGCTCACTGCAATCTCTGCCTCCCGGGTTCAAGTGATTCTCCTGCCTCAGCCTCCCTAGTAGCTGGGATTACAGGCACGCACCACCACACCCAGCTAATTTTGTGTTTTGGATTTTTAGTAGAGACAGGGTTTCACCACGCTGGCCAGGATTGTCTGGATCTCCTGACCTCGTCATCTGCCCACCTCGGCCTCCCAAAGTGCTGGGATTACAAATGTAAGCCACTGCGCCTGGCCTCAATCTCTTAATATGGTAAATATTATTAATTTTATAGGCTTTCCTGATTTTTAAATCACCCTTGCCTTCATAGCATGAATCTATTTGGTCACACACAAATTTAATTCAACATGGCAATTTCAGGACTTTTTCATTCATTCATTTAGTAAGTACTCATTGAGTACTTCTTACGTGACAGGAACTTAGGCAATAGAAGTACAGCAGTAATTAAAACAAATTTTTAAGAAAACATTGCCTTCATCGATTACATTGAAGGAATCAGTTAACAATTATGATTAATAAGTAACATATATAATATGTTAGACAGTGATCACTGTTAAAGAAAAGAACAAGAAAGAAGAAATACAAACTCTTTAAGAGGAGCTCAAATTTAAGTTGAGTGCCCAGAGAAGTCCTCATAAAAAAGCAAATTTGAAAAAAGCCGGTAGAAAGTGAGGGAGCCTGGCTCTTCAGCTATCTGGGTGAAGAATATACCAGGCAAAGGAAACAGAAGCTAAACAACCCTGAGACAACCCTGAGGTAGGAATATTTCTGATACTTTTGAAGAGTTATTTGGTAACTTTTTTTTCTAGAAAACTGACCATTTCACTGAAATTTTCAAATTTATTGGCATAAAATTAACTATAATTTTAAATTATTTTTATAAAACTATTGTATTTACAATTCCTTATATTGCTGTTTTTTCCATTTTGATTTTGATCAGACTACCTAGAAGTTTGTCTATTTTGTTACTATTTTCAAAATTATTATTACCAAATATTCTCTGTAGATTGGAGTTAACAATTTACACGCTGCATCTCTTACGTGCAAAAAAAGTCACTTGATACTTCTTTTCTACCCCAAGTAACATTCTTTCCTCTCACCCTCGTAGCGGATGCTAGTAAACCTCTGCATCTCTTCAATGTCAAACAGGAGCTGCTGAAAATTTGGGGCTTCTGACCCAGACCCTCCCTCTGCCTAAATACATCATGCTGCCATTTTGACTCCACTGCAACTGAATGCTGTTGGCATTCTGTAAGATATTCTGTAAGGTAAACTTCTCAGTGATTCCAAAAGGACACAAGCTGCCTTCGTATTGCCATTTCTCTCAACCCCTTTGTTAACCACCTGCATAAGCTTGGGTTGCATAGCAGTTGTAGTTAAAATTAAAGAATCATCAGTATAAAGAATAGCAGAGATTGGGGCCTAGTCAGCCAGGGAGAAAGCTGAGCTCTTCTGAAGCAAACACCTTGCTCGTATCAAGCAAGGTGGCAAGGGTTCCAGACACTTTAAAAGTAGAAATAGTTAAGGACCAAGGACAATGTTGGAGACAAATGGGATAAGACACTTTAACTAGAGTATATTAATCATGTTTTCTTATTTTCTGTATGTTATGATACTTTGACATCTTGGGACCCTGCTTGCTGGGGAGAGTCTGCTCTTCCCAGGGTTAGCTAAATCTTAGAGATAGAAAACACTTGCCCAGGAGTCCATTCTTCAAATGCAAATCAACCAATCCAGGCCCCATACCTTCAACCACCTCCTCTACTGGGCCAAGCCACTGTAGCCCTGCCTTATTCATCCCAGGGCCAGGTATCAGATAACTAGGGGCAGTCCCTAGCCAATCTTAAACCTGTTTACCCTGCCTCACCATTTCCTTCCTGTGAAAACCACAATAAAGGCTCTTTCCCATGCTTTCCTCTTGCTCCCTTTGCCTCCTCACTGACTTTTGTGCTTCCCCATGTGGCCTTGCATGACAGCCATTTCTCTGTTCATAACAGTCATTTCTCCATCTGCATGTCTTGCCATTCCTAATTAAAACAAATCCCAGGAACATTTTAAAGCACAAAAGATCACACATAGAACCATAGACCTGTGTGCCCAATGCCATTAGGATGTGTAAAATGCCCTCACAACCATCCTAAGAAGGATGAAAATTTGGGAGAGAGATTACAGTCTTTGAATGAAGATTTAAGCAGTTCACACTTCCTAATCTCAAAGATAATGATCTCATTGTTGTTCTTGGTGGGAAAATATTTTTTTTTCAAGCTTTACCTTCCCAAGGATAGTGGCAACTGATTATGGACGATGCTTTAGCTACTTAATTCTTACAATGAGCAACAATGAAAAGCTTCTGAGTTTAGTTCTTTAAATTAGGAACTTCTGCTTAAATGTCCAATGCTTTAAGTTGGTTGCAAGGATCACAGGGGTGACATCATATTTTGCTAAGAGTTTTTTATTTAGCAGAACAGCATAGAGCAGTGTAGTCAGATTGCCTGATTTGGAATCCAGACTCCCACAGGCAGTGTGACTTTGGACGAGTTGCTTAACTTTTCTTTATCTTAGTTGTCTCACCTATGGAATGAAAATAATAATGGTATCTTCTTTCTACGGTGGTTGTGAGGAGTAAATTAGATGATCCATACAAGTTATTAGCATAATGTTTGGCATTCATTGTGTACTCAATAAATATCAATCATGGTAAAAAAAAATTAGAATGATTACTAGTATGCCTTTGTGCCATATACTGTGCTAAGTGATCCCTTGTTTCCTTTACCCTCACAGCACACCTGGGTATTGTTACTGGCAGAGGGTGTCCAGGTTCTTGGTGTTTTGAACAAAGAATTGGACAAAATGCACAAACATAGCAATGAAAGAAAAGCACAGATTTCAATGAAAGAAAAGCACAGATTTTTTTTTTTTTTTTTTTTTGAGATGGAGTCTCGTTCTGTTGCCCAGGCTGGAATGCAATGGCGCAATCTCGGCTCACTGCAACCTCTGCCTCCCGGGTTCAAGTGATTCTCCTGCCTCAGCCTCCCAAGTAGGTGGGATTACAGGTGCTCACCACCACACCCAGCTAATTTTTGTATTTTTAGTAGAGACAGGGTTTCACCATGTTGGTCAGGCTGGTCTCAAACTCCTGACCTCAGGTGATCCACCTGCCTTGGCCTCCCAAAGTGCTGGGATTGCAGGTGTGAGCCACCACACCCGGCCTGAAAAGCACAGATTTATTGAAACTAAAGTACACTCCACAGAGTGGGAGTTGGCTAGAGCAAGTGGCTCAAGAGCACCAGTTACATAACTTTCTAGGATTTAAATATTGTTATCCTCTAGAGGTTTCCCACTGGTTACTTGGTGAACATCCTATGTAAATGAAGAGGATGAAGTGAAGTTACAAGATTATTTACTTGGTGTACACCTATGCAAATGAAGAGGATGTTTCCTGCCATAGCTGATGTAAAGTTACAAAGTTATTTACTTGGGTGTAGAAGGTTGGGGTTTTTTCTGTTTGATTTAGTTCTAGGAAGTCCTTAGGTTCCCTGCTTCCAGACCTTATTCTTCTGCCTCAGTATTATTACCTAGGAATGGTGGAGTTGTGCTTGAGTGCTCTGAGTCTGAAGCCCATGCTCTTAATTACAAGCCCCATGTGACTGGAGGTTTAATAGAGGGTGAGACAAAGAAATAGTTCAGGAACTCTGGCATCATTCCACTATATCAAGTATCCAAAGATGAAAAACGAGAGCTTGGCATGCTCTGTGACACTTTTCATGTTGTCATTGATGTTGCTGGTATTTAGACTCTGCAAGCCAACTAACAGTCTATAAGACATCCTATAAACTTTCTTGAAAACACTTCATGAAATTTATACTTTTTACTTTTCTACAGAGAGCAAATATTATTGAAACATTTCATATTTACTGAAAAAAAGACATTCTTTGGCATCAAACTATCTAGCATGAGGGTATTTTCTGGAACATCAAACAATCATTGATAGCTATCTATGGTAGATTTGCTGAAATGAAAGCCAGCATGAAGCAACCAAATTGTCACATCTAACCATGAACAACGACACTCATTAAGTTATGGGAATATCAGTATCAAAAGGAAAGACCTTTTCACCTCGCACTTAACCTGATCGTTGATCTCTTGAAAAACAAAAGAGCAAGATTAAGGGACAGTAAGAAAGAAAGGGAGAGAAATTGAACAGGAAGTCCTAGTTATTTGGAATTTACAGAACATGCACACTGCTATCCAAACAAACTGCAGAGTATGCACCACTATCCAAACATACTACTCCAAGTGCCATTATTTCTTGACTAGCAAGTCAGAAGCAATACATTTCAGAGATATAAATTAGCTTTGATGGAGATTTTGTAGTTAAAGTTTGAACTCTGAGTAATTGTATTAATATAAGTAGTAACGTGTAAATCCTCCTCCAATAGGGAGTGCAGAACTCCAAAAAGGATCACCAAGCAAAGATGAATAAGACAAATTAAAAAAAGAGGATTGGTGTGTGCAGTGGCTCACACCTGTAATCCCAACACTTTGGGAGGCTGAGGTGGGGGGATCGCTTAAACCCAGGAGTTTGAGACAAGCCTGGACAACATGATGAAACCCCATCTCTACAAATGTACAAAAATTAGCTGAGCATGGTGATGTGTGCCTGTGGGCCCAGCTACTTGAGAGGCTGACGTGGGAGGATCATTTGAGCCCAGGTGTTCAAAATGGGGCCACTGCACTCCATCCAGCCTGGGTGATAAAGTGAGACCCTGTCTCAAAAACAAAACGAAACAAAACATAACCCCCAAAAAACGATATACATAGGGCAAAGGGCAAGGTGAGGAACTTCTCTTTTGGTCCTCCCAGCTCAGAATTTAATTTGCCTATCCCTTAACAATGAAGGATTAAAGTGACTACCGGAAGCACTCCATATCTTATTTGTAGTCTGTTGTGTTATAAGTGGTTGCTTAGGTTGGTAGCGAGTAACAATACTCAATATAGCATTTATCCTTTTGTCGGCAATATAAAGTCCTAAGTAAAAGACCTCCTTCAAGTGTTGTTAATGGAACTGGGGAAAATTCAGCTGATAATTGCAGTGTATCTTTGTTACCCTTGCAAATACTTGAGAGATAGAAGAGAGACAGAGAGAGAGAAAAAAATAAACCCTGATGCCTTAAGGCATCTATTGTATACAATGAATTAACTTCTCTCATTTGCATCTATAATATTAGTTATGTGCCATCCTCCTTGGAAGAAATGAGAAAATAATATTCAAATCAGTTTTTGGTAGAGTTTAATTTTCTTGTGAAACTCCCATTGAGAAAGGCTGCTAGAAAAGATATTCAAAGGAGACTTTGTTCTGTCTGGATATGTCGTAGATTTCACTGATACACTGAGATGTTAACTTACTTGTTTCTTGGTACCAACATTTCACCCAATGGCATCAAAATAGACTTCAAAGCACTGACACTGGTGCTGAAAAAATTATGTGTTCAAATTCTGATTCTGCCACCTCCAGGGTCTGATTTAGGGAAAGTCACTTATACCTCAGCTATGACACAAATAATATATATGACATAATACCATACCTACCTTACAGGGTTGCAGTGGTGATTTCGTGAGACGATGTAAGACAGACCTCAGCACACTGTGAACACTGAACGAATGTTATTAACCACTGGAGATAACAATCCTGAGTAACCCACTGTATAGCTTTCCTCTTGGGGAGATTGAGAACAACGCAGAACCATTAGACCTGTCTCCTACTGAGCCATCTGGTATTGATTTTTCAGTTGCACATCCTGGAGACTCACTAGGGCCATAAAATAAAGGAAGCAATAATTCTCCCCTGACCACTCAGCTGCTAAAATGAAGGGACCTGGAATTTTACACCCTCTAGGATAACACAGAGAAAGCCTTGTAATAGGGTTCCTGTTGCTTGTTTCAAGACTGTTAGCTAAGAGCGAAGGAGTATTTGGTATGCCAGAGGGCTTTACATTATCCATTAGCATTGTGGTCTCTAAGTTCTTGTCATAACTTACAGTGGTGTTTTATGAACAAATTAACCCCAAGTAGCTTTTGCAGCAATAAAATATTCTGCTGTAGAAGGCTTGCTCATTTTCTGCATGCATTTTACTGTTATGTTAGACATGGGGAGTGAGAAGATAGAGGAAAAACCATGAGAAGAGGCAGAGAGAGGATGTGCAAAGAGAAGAGGGAGAAAAAGGATGTATTGATCCTGTTCTTATTTTACTTCAACTAAACATGTATTTTCTAAGTCTTTTTCTCGACTACAAAGAAAAAAAAGCAGGGCCAAGTCTTGATCTTTTTTAAAAAAATTAAAGTACATGTACTGCTTTTTCCTGATTATGAAGTAATACAAGTTCCTTATAGAAAATATGAAAAGCACACTGAAGAAAAAACTAAATTCCCTATAATATTATTAAGCAGACATAAATATTTATGATGTTTGGTACATTTCCTTCTATTGATAATCTGTTTTCTATGTATGCATGTTGGTGAGGTCTAAACTCTGATCTTTTTTCTCTCTTGCCCAAATTCCTATCTAAGGGCCTGGGAACTCACATCCTGAAAACCAAAAAAATCTCACCAGATGGGTTTTATTTAACCCTACACAATGTGGCTTCCTTTCCAGTCTGACTCTGCATAACATCACATGATAGATTAAAAAGGAAATCAAAATATTTTACCTCACTTTTTTTTTAACTAGACTGAAAAACCTCAAAATATATTTCTTTGCCATATTTTGAAATGGCTCTGCAAAGCCGTCTTTTGTGGGGGATAGTTTGCATCTGTAAAGAATCTCTATTAACATAATTAGATCTTTTCCCTTCCAGGCCCTGAAATCCTGAAGAGATTAATCGAGATTCTAGCCCCTTTTAAAGGTGTGAATAGGAAACATTTGCCATCTATTATCTCTAAGGGTGGCCACCTAAGGACTTCTTAAGACCCTTGGTCTCCACAACCCCTTATTTTAACCCAGACACTCTTTTCTATTGATTCCACGTCTTCAGATGGTAACCTAACTCTTCCAACCAATTGCCAATCAGAAAATCTTTGAATCCACCTCTGACCTTCAGCCCCACCCCCTTCCCGCTTTGCATTGTCTCACCTTTCCGTTCCAAACCAATGTATATCTCACATGCATTGAATGATGTATCAAACCAAGCTGTAACCCAAACCACCTTGGGTATATGTTCTCAGGACCTCTTGAGACTGTGCCTCAGGCCATGATCATTCATATTTGGCTCAGAATAAGCCTCTGAAATCTTAAAATATTTTACAGAGTTTGACTTTTTTTTTTTTTTTTTTTTTTGCCAATGTAGGTATCATATTGAACAATTTTTTATCTTCCTCTTTTTGAATTGTCATTCCTAGGTGCATTTCTCCATGTAATTGAAAATTATTTTAAAGATAAAATTTGATCAATTCATCATACTGTTAAATCAAGGTTAGCCTAAAGCTGCCTCCTTACATATTTTCAGTTCAGCCTAAAGATTTCTGTGTATGTAGTGAACTGTAACTTAAAGGTATAAACAGGCTGTAACCTACTCTTGTGCCACTCACTGAGTTTGGGCCACCCTAAGGGGGCCAACTGTTCAAACCACATTCAAATAAGGCGAATGCCAAGCTGTAACCAATCTGGCTGTTTCTTTACCTCACTTCTGTTTTCTGTATGTCACTTTCCTTCTTCTGTCTATAAATATTCCACCATGTGGCTGCCCTGGAGTCCCTCGGAGCTTACTCTAGCCCTGGAATCTGTCAATTCATGAATTGTTCTTTGCTCAATTAAACTCTGTTAAATTTAATTTGGCTAAGGTTTTTCTTTTAACAATACCATACATAAGAATAAACTCCAAATGAATCAGAAATCTAAATGTTAAAATATTGACCTAACAATGCTAAAGGAAAATCGGGATGATTTTCTCTATAGCCTGAGTGGAGGGAATGCTACCTAAATATGACTTAGAATTCAGATACAATTTCTAAAAATTGATAAATTTCACCACATAAAAATCAAAACCTTTTGCATTGCAAAAACAAACAAACAAACAAACAAACAAAAACCCCTCAGAACCCCACCACAAGCAAAGTCAAAGGGCAAACAACAGATTGAGAATAACTATTTGCAACATATGTCACGAAGTACTAATTTATCTGATATATAAAGAACTGTAAAGAAAAACACCAAAAATCCTTTAGAAAAAAGTGAACATTAACAGATCACATATCTATATTAAACATAAATAGATGACCAGTTTTATTAATAATACAAGAAATGCAAACTGAAAGAAGACAAAGATACTACATCTAACCTATTAGATTGCAAAAATTTAAAAGTTGGCAAGACTGACAGGCAACAAAAGCCCTTATACATTGTTGGTGGGAATGCAAAATGGTACAATCCTCATGAAGGAGGATATGACAATATCTAACAATATTACATATGCTTTTATCCTTTGACTCAGCAATCTTACTCCTAGGAATTTACTCTGATGATGTACTCCGCGATATGAAAATACATATGCACAAGGCCATTCTTTGCAACATTATTTGTGATTGCAAAATATTGGAAACCACCTAAATACACAAATAAAAAACAGTTGAATAAAATATGATACAAGCATATAATGCAGTATCATGCATCTATATATTTTTAAAAAGAGGAATATCTCTTGTAGATTTATATGGATTTCTAGGATATGTTAAGTACAAAACAGTATCTATAGTATGCTACCTTTTTGCAAGAAGCAAGAGGAAATAAGAAAATATCCTTTATTCATGTTTGCAATTAATTTTGCAAAAATAACAGGAATGATAAATAAGCTAAATAAAATTGTTTGCCCATTGGAGTAGAGGAAATGCAATGGAAGAGATTGGGGAGAAAGTAACGCTTCTTTGTGTATATGGTTTTGTATAGTTCTTATTTTGAAAGCATGCTAATGTTCTGTATGTTTTTTAAAATAAACAAAGATGGGGGAATAGTCTCTAAAACTGAATGCAAACATAAACAATGGAATCCACTGTATTTCAAATGAATAACATAACCTAACTCAAAGGATTGTTCATGAAAATGGAACTAATCAAAGTTGCTTTTGAACAACATATTTTAATATGTACTGTGATAGGCAGCATTCTAGGATGGTTCCTGGCTCTGTTTTCTGTTGCTGTAACAGAACCACAGACAGGGAAATTTATAATATGTAGAAACTTCTTTAGCTCACAGTGTGGAGGCTGGTAAGTCCAATATCCACGGGATGGCATCTGGTAAAGGCCTTTGGGTTGCAGGAAAAGTAATGGCATGTAAAAGAGAAAAGCTCAAGGAGTTGAAGAGCCTGCTAACTTTGTAACAACCACTTCCCGAGATAACTAACCTACTCCTGAGATAGTGCCATTAATCCATTCAAGAGGGCACAGCCCTCATGACCTTAAAACCTCCCATTCAGCCCCACCTCTCAATATTGTCATTGGGGATTATGCTTCAACATGACTTTTGGAGGAGACACATTCAAACCATAGTGTCTCACCCCTGGCCCCCCAAATTCATGTCCTTCTCACAAACATAACGCATTTATTCTATCCCATTAGCCCCCAGAGTCTTAGCTTGTTCCAGAATCACCTCAAAGATCCAAAGTCTAGAGTCTCATCTAAATTAGATATGGGTGAGGCTCAAGGGATGATTCACCTTGAGGCAAATTTATCTCCTGGTACAAGCCTGTGAACTCAAAACAAATTATAGACTTCCAAAATACAGTGGTGAGACAGGCATGGGACTGCCATTCCCGTACCAAAAGGGAGAAATAGGGAAGAAGAAAGGAGTAACAGGCCTTAAGTACAGATTCAAAACTCAACAGGGAAAACATCATTTAAATTTTAAAGCTTCAGAATTATCTTTGTTTCCATGTCCTGCATCCTGTGCATACTGGGCCTAGGAATGGGCCTCCAAGGCCTTGGGCAGTCCTGTCCCTGTGGTTTTCCTGGGCTCAGTCCACCAAGCAGCTTTCATGGGTTGGAGTCTTATGCCTGCAGCTCTCTTAGGCTGGAGTTGAATGCTGGTAACTTTATGTTCTGGGGTCTCTGTGGCGGTCCTGCTCCCTTGGCTCCATTAAGCACTGCCTTAGTGGGGGCTGTCTGTGGCAGTTTCAGCTGTGACCGCTCATTTTCATTGTCAGCAACATCCTTCAAACTCTAGGCAGGGGAAGCCACATCCCCACAGCCCTTGCATGCTGCATGTCTGCAGATTTACCACATGGATACACCAAGAGTTATCACTTGCACCTTCCAGAGCAGCAGGTTGAGCCACAACTGGTATAACTGAGGAGCACTGTGCTGGAATGCAGAGAGCAGAGACCTGAGGTGGTCCTGGGCAGTGAGCCCATAGATGGTGTCTTAGGCCAGTCTCCCAAAATCATTCTGCCCTCATTGAGCTCTGGACTTATGATAGGAGGGGCAGCCTCAAAGAGCTCTGAAATGTCTTAGAAGTCTTGCTTTCATCGTCCTGATGAATAGCCTCTGGCTTCCTTCAGTACATGCTTATCTTTTTGTTAAAGGGTGACTTGGCTGCGCCCTTACATGCTTTTTCATCCTTTACATGACCAGGCTGCAAATTTTGCAAATCTTTCTGCTTTCTTTCCTTTTAATTATAAATTTCATCTTAAATAATTTCTCTCCTCTAGCATCTCACTATAAGCAGTTAAAAATAGTCATGCAGTAATCTGAATGCTTTACTGTTTAGATATTCTGTTAGATATCCTAGTTTGTCCCTCTTAAATTCTACCTTCCATAAAGTCCTCAGGCATGGACGCAGTTCAACCATGTTATTTGCTACTTTATAACCAGAATGGCCTTTACTCTAATTTTCAATACCTTATTCCTCATTTCCATTTGAGACCTTTTCAGAATGTCCTTTACTGTCTATATTCCTGTCAACATTCTAGTTATGACCATTGACTAATCTCTAAGAAGTTCCAGACTTTCTGTAGTCTTTTCTTCTTAGCCCTCACTAGAATCAATTTTAATGCTCAATTTTTGGCAATGCAGGCTTTTTCTAGCCTGTTCCTTCAAACTCTTTTAACCTCTATCCATTATCCAGTTATAAAGCTGCTTCCACATTTTAGGTATCGGTCATAGCAACAACCCCACTTCTCAGTAGCAACTTTCTCTCTCAGTCCGTCTTCTGTAGCTGTAACAGAATACTGCAGACCGGGTAATTTATGATGAATTTATAATTTATTTTATAATTTATAATTTATAATTTATTTAGTTCATGGTTCTGGAGATTTGGAAGTCCAATATCAAGGGGCTGGCATATGGTGAGGGCTTTAGGCTGCCTCATCCCATGGAAGAAGAGTGGGGCACATGCAAAAGAGAAAAGCACAAGGCACTGTGCCTGCTTTATAACAACCCACTCCTGAGATAACTAACCTACTCGTGTGATAATGACAATCAGTTCATGAGGGTGGAGCCCTTATGACCTAAATATCTCCCATTCAGCCCTATCTCCTAACACTGTTGCACTGGGAATTACATTTCAACATGAGTTTTGGAAGGAACATTCAAGCCATGGCAGCTCCCAAGATTCCCACCGCCTGGTGTATAAACCCTATAAAATCCCCTCCCTTTGAGTATTGTAGGAATTAGTGAATATGATGGGATAGTTTCTCCATGTGAGCAAAGTGATGAGATACTCATTCCCATTATTATGTTATGTTGCTTAAAATTTCATCAGAGCAGATAGCCCAGACTACCCCACTGCAGGAGTCTCCTGCTGACCTTGAAAGAGCAAACTGACAATGTAGCAGGGACTAGCAGGTGGCTTTTAAGGGAGTGGAAGATAGCCCCCGGCTGACAACCAACAAGAAAGTATGTCTTTGTGCCTACAACTGCATGGAACTGAATTCAGTCAACACCCTGAACATACTTGAAAGAGGATCCCAAACTCCGCGTGAGAACCACAACATGGATGACATCTTGATTTCAACTTTGCAAGACCATGAAAGAGAACCCAGGTGCTTTGTGCTCAGACTTCTATCCTGGAGAACTGTGATGTAATAAATGGATGTTTTTAGTTGCTAAGTGTGTAATAATTTGTTATGTAGCATTAGAAAACTAGTACATATACCCTCAGTATGAAGAAAAAGAAGAATGGCCTAATATTAAATTCTTTTTAGTAGGTTTGTTTTTCATCATCATATGGGCATAACAAATCTCAAACTTTTGCATGTATTGTATATTTTAACAAATGAATAAATGGATTGATGTTGGAAGCCAAAGCTCTAGTTGTAGAAGGGAGATACAAGAATGGACTGGGGAAAGGCAAAGGACAACACTTTGGGGCTAAAAGGAGTAGAAGATTTTACTATAAACTCGTAGTTTCTAAAATATATACATTAGAGCTGAGATTTCCAACATATGCAAAATACAAAGCATCTAATATATTTCTGCTTGTTGAAAAAGCTTAGAAGCAATGCTATCCCAACAGTGATGAACATATTTAGCACCCAGATATTGATTTCTAAATACCATTACCTTCCAAAAGGAGCCAGGGCTCCATGAAGAAATGGCCAGTTCTGAGGTTGGTACAGAGAAGGTATAAGATAAACCTAGAGCATCTCATTGTGCCATAAATTAAGAAAATACTAAAAACAGTTGCAGGGCATGTCAAGAAGACACAGGAGTCACCTTAAGCATCAAAATAGGCCTGATGTGGTGGCTCACGCCTGTAATCCCAGCACTTTGGGAAGCCGAGGTGGGCAGATCACCTGAGATCAGGAGTTTGAGACCAGCCTGGCTAACATAGTGAAATCCCATCTCTACTAAAAATACAAAATTAGCTGGGTGTCATGTCACGTGCCAGTAAGCGTGGGAAGCTGAGGCATGGAAACCGCTTGAACCCGGGAGGCAAAGGTTGCAGTAAGCCGAGATCACACCACTGCCGTCCAACCTGGACAACAACAAGACTCCATCTCAAAATAAATAAATAAAGACACTAATAGATTATAATCCGTTGAAAAAATAAGAATCTATGAGTTCAAACTGAAGACAGACAGAAAGAGAAAGAGAGAGAGAGAGAAAGAGAGAGACAGAGAATAGATAAGGGAAAAAGAAAGATCTTTATTACAGTTAAAGGCTAACTGTAATAAATATAGAAAGAATGATTAAGTTAGAAAAATCACAGTTTGCAACTATAGGAGTAAAAAGTGATCCAGGCAAACATCAATGGATCCTAAATCTAAGCATAAAGGTTTGATGATAAACAGGATACTTACAGCATTTCAAAATATCTCACCGCAAATGATTTAACTTCATAAGAAAAGAAAGTAAATATGGTAGAAAAACTAGACAACTCTTCAACCAAATAATCAAAATTAATGTCAGTAATAATGGAAATTTTCCCGAGAATATACCATCACTAATGTGATATTTCAGCCAAAAATGCATAATCTGAATTTGATCATGAGGAAACATTGGATAAACACAAATTGAATAACATTCAGTAAAATAATTTACTGTATTCCTCAGATATATTATGTTGTAACAAAGAAAGGCTGAAGAACTCTTCCAGATTAAAAATTCTAGAGAGACATGTTGTTAAATGTTACAGACTGGACTAATGACTCAGGGGTTGGAGGTGGGGATGGGAACCTGCTATAAAGGACATTACTGAGAAAATTGACAACATTGAAACATGGACTGTGAAGTATTGTACCAATGTTAAATTTCCTGAATTTGATAACTGTACTGTGGTTATATAAGAAAATGTTTCCGGTCTAGAAAAGGCACAATGAATATTAAGGGGTGATGAGGCATGATAAATGCAACCTATTCTCAAATGGTTCTGGTGGGAAAAAAAACATATTTTACACACGCAGAATAATAAAGATAAAACGTTAAAAAATTTAAATGTGGATAAATGGTTTATGGGTGTTCTGTGTACTATTGCTACTTTTCTAAAAGTTAAACATTGTTTCAAAAAACATAAGGTTTTTTCACACTAGAAATTCTTTTTATATGCCATTTATATTGTTTACAAAATATTCCGCCTTATATATGTATCATAACTTATAGACTATTTTGTGATTTACAGTTTATTTTTAACTTTTAACATTAAAAATATTAATAAAACTGTGATGAATATCCCATTTGCATCTCAGATTATGTCTTTGGCATAGATTCCTAGAAACTGAATAACTGGGACAAAGGGTTAAAACTTTTTAAAGATTATTGACATATATTGCCAAAAGCTTTTGGAAAGCTTGAATAAGTTTGTTCAGTTATTCATTCATTCATTCATACCAATTTACAGTGTTTTGTGAGCCCCCCAATACAGAAAATAACTTTTCTTCACATTTTCTAAATGTGTAGGCAAACTGATTATATTTTTGTTATTATATACATTATAGTAGAATTGAACATTTTTATATGCTTACTTGCCATTACTTTTCGTTCCCACTTTTATTTTAGGTTCAAGGGGTACATGTGCAGGTTTGTTACATGAGTAACTTGTGTATCATGGGGGTTTGGTGTACAGATAATTTTGTCACCCAGGTAATCAGCATAATACCCAATAGGTAGTTTTTTCAATCCTCACCCTTCTCCCACCCTCCACCCTCAAGTAGGCCCTGGTGTCTATTATTATCTTCTTTGTGTTCACGTGTACTCAATATTTAGCTCCCACTTGTAACTGGGAACATGTGGTATTTGGTTTTATGTCCCTGCGTTAATTCGCTTAGGATAATGACCTCCAGCTCCATCCGTATTACAGCAAAGGACATGATTTTATTCTTTATTAAATGGCTGTGTAGTATTCCATGGTGTATATATACCACACTTTCTTTATCCAGTCCTCTGTTGATGGACATCTAGGTTGATTCCATGTCTTTGCTACTGTGAATAGGGCTGCAATGAATGTACAAATGCATGTGTCTTTATAGTAGAATGATTTATATTCCTTTGGGTATATACCCAATAATGAGATTGCTGGGTCGAATGGTAATTCTGTTTAAAGTTCTTTGAGAAATCGCCACACTGCTTTCCACAGCAACTGAACTAATTTACATTCCTACCAGCCGTGCGTAAGCATTCACTTTTCTTCACAACCTCACCAGCATCTCTTCTTTTTGACTTTTTAATACGAGCCATTTTGACTGGTGTGAGATGGTATCTCAATGTGGTTTTGATTTGCATTTACCTAATGAATAGTGATATTGAGCATTTTTTCATATGCTTCTTGGCCATGTGTGTGTCTTCTTTTGAAAAGTATCTGCTCATGTCCTTTACCCATTTTTTAACGGGGTTGTTTGCTTTTTACTTGCTGATTTGTTTAAGTTCCTTACAGATTCTGGATATTAGACTTTTGTCGGATGCATAGTTTGCAAAGATTTTCCCCCATTTTGTAGGCTGTTTACTCTGTTGATAGTTTCTTTTGCTGTGCAGAAGCTGTTTAGTTTAATTAAGTCCCACTTGTTAATTTTTGTTGTTTTTGTTGTTGCAATTGCTTTTGGAGTCTTCCTCATGAAGTTAATGCCAAGGCCTATGTCCAGAACGGTATTTCCTAGGTTTTCTTCTAGGGTTTTGATAGTTTTAGGTTTTACATTTAGGTCTTTAATCAATCTTGAGTTGATTTTTGTATGTGGTAAGAGGTAGGAGTGCAGTTTCAATCTTCTGTGTATGGCTATCCAGTTAACCCAGCACCATTTATTGACTAAGGAGTCATTTCCTTATTGCTTGTTATTGTTGGCTTTGTTGAAGATCAGATGGTTGTAGGCATTCAGCTTTATTTCTGAGTTTTCTATTCTGTTCCACTGCTCTGTGTTTGTTTTTGTACCAGTATCATGCTGTTTTGGTTACTGTAGCCTTATAGTATAGTTTGAAGTCAGGTAATGTGATTCCTCTAGCTTTGTTCTTTTTTCCTAGGATTGCTTTGGCTATGCAGGCTCCTTTCTTGTTCCAAATGAATTTTAGAATCATATTTTCTAATTCTGTGAAAAATGTCACTGATACTTTGATAGGAATAGCACTGAATGTGTAAATTGCTTTGGGCAGTATGACCATTTTAACAATATTGATTCTTCCTATCCATGAGCATGGAATGTTTTCCCATTTGTTTGTGTTGTCTCTGATTTCTTTTAGCAGCGTTTTGCAATTCTCATTGTAGAGATCTTTTACCTCCCTGGTTAGCTGTTTTTCTAGATACTTTATTCTTTTTATGGCTATTGTGAATGGGATTACATTCTTGATTTGGCTCTCATGTTGGACATTATTGGTGTATAGAAATTCTACTGATTTTTGTACATTGATTTTGTATTCTGAAACTTTGCTGAAGTTGTTTATCAGATCTAGGAGCCTTTGGGCAGACAGTTTGGGGTTTTCTAGGTATAGAATCATATTGTCTGTGAAAAGAGATAGTTTGACTGTTTCTTTTCCTATTTGGGTGCTTTTTATTTCTTTCTTTTACCTGATTGCTCTGGCTCAGACTTTCAACACTACATTGAATAGGAGTGGTGAAAGTGGGCATCCATGTCTTGTTCTGGTTCTCAAAGGGAATCCTTCCAGCTTTTTTCCTGTTTGGTATGATGTTGGCTGTGGGTTTTTTGTAAATGGATCTTCTTATTTTGAGATATGTTCCTTCAATGCTTAGTTTGTTGAGATTTTTAACATGAAGGGATGTTGAATTTTATGGAAATCCTTTTCTGTGTTTATTGAGAAGATCATGTTGTTTTTGTTTTCAGTTCTACTTGTGTGATGAATCACATTTACTGATGCATATGTTGAACTAACCTTGCATCATGAGAATAAAGCCTACTTGATCATGGTGCATTAGCTTTAATGTGCTGCTGGATTCATTTTGCTAGTATTTTGTTGAAGATTTTGCATCTGTGTTCATCAGGGGTATTGGCCTGACGTGTTCTTTTTACATTGTGTCTCTGCCAAGTTTTGGTATCAGAATGATGCTGGCCTCATAGAATGAGTTAGGGAAGAGTCCCTCCTCCTTGATTTTTTGGAATAGTTTCAGTAGGATTGGTACCAACTCTTATTTGTACATCTGGAAGAATTCAGCTGTGAATCCTTCTGGTCCAGAGCTTTTTCTTTTTGTTTGTTTGTTTTTTAATTACTCATCCAATTTCAGAACTCATTATTAGTCTGTTCAGAGTTTTCATTTTTCCTGGCTTAATCTTTGGGCGTTGTATGTTTCCAGGAATGTTTCTATTTCTTCTAGGTTTTCTAGTTTGTGTGCATAGAGGTGTTCATAATAAAAACCTCAAAAACCTCTGAGGGTTGTGGCTGGGCGCGGTGGCTCACGCCTGTAATCCCAGCACTTTGGGAGGCCGAGGTAGGCGGATCACGAGGTCAGGAGATCGAGACCATCCTGGCTAACACGGTGAAACCCAGTCTCCACTAAAAATACAAAAAATTCTCCTGGCGTGGTGGCAGGCACCTGTAGTCCCAACTACTCAGGAGGCTGAGGCAGGAGAATGGCGTGAATCCGGGAGGCGGAGCTTGCAGTGAGCCGAGATCGCGCCAGTGCACTCCAGCCTGGGCGACAGAGCGAGACTCTGTCTCAAAAAAAAAAAAAAAAAAAAAAAAAAAAACCTCTGAGGGTTGTTTGTATTTCTGTGGGGTCAGTGGTAACATCCCCTTTGTCATTTCTGATTGTGTTTATTTGAGTCGTCTCTTTTCTTCTTTATTAGTCTAGCTAGTGGTCTATCAATCTTATTTATTCTTTCAAATAAACTTTTAGTTTCATTGATCTTTTGTGTGTTTTTTTTCTCATCTCCATTTCATTCATTTCAGCTCTGATTTTAGTTATTTCTTTTCTTCTGCTAACTTTGGGGTTGGTTTGCTCTTGCTTTTCTAGTTCTTCTAGGTATGATGTTAGATTGTTTACTTGAGATTTTTCTAACTTTTTGATGTGCCTTGCTAGCCATGTTTATTTGTTCTTGTAATTTTCTTCCTACCTTATCTGTCTATTTTTAGAGAGATCATGGATTTTTTAAGCAATAAATTAACATATTAATTTAAAAATAATTTAAAAGTCCACTGATTTTTCATTATTTCTTTATATAGAGGACATATTAATACTTTGCTGCATTTATTGCAAAGAGGGTGAGTGGCCTAACTGCCTGACTTTTAACTGTACAACACCAGCCTTAACGTGAAGGTTCAGCTGAGCAGAGAAGATGCTGACAGGCCACAGGAGTCTTAGTCAGCAGGGCCAACTGATTGAAGGTTTAGGTTATAGGAAAAGGAGAGCATTTAAACAAATATGAGAATTAGAGGAAAGCTTCCCTAGGAGGTATAGTTCACAGGCCTAATTATTTCTGTGGAAATAGGCAGTGACAGCAACCCTGGCGTATAGGCCTGAAAATACACCATGGCAGAGGGAAGAGAGCATGGCAAATTATGCACTGGTTTTATAGCTTCCACCCAGAAATGACACACGTCACCTCTGCTTGCATCTCTTTGACCAAGAAAGCTGCCCTCCAAAGAGGGTGGGAAAACGCAGTTGTATCATGTGCCTAGAAGGAGAAAGGAACCAGAATATTTGTCAATAGCCCTATCACTTCCATAAACACTATATTTATGAAGAATCCACCTTTAAGTATGCAAAAAATCATTACTGGTTTTTTCACCTAATTTTTTCCCTGTTACAATAAAGAAATTCAATTTCTGAATTAATGTGGAAAGTTAGACATTAACAGGGATGGGAGGATGGTGAATCATAATGTGGACACTTCGAAAACCAAAACCTGTGGCCATGTACTTTTCCTATGGATATAAATTCTGAATAGAGTAGCCTGGAGACAGGCAGAGGGGAAGAGATGAAGTGTCTTCTCACCTTCATTCAGGCCAACAGTTCATCTGTTTCAGAAAGACACATATTTACAGGTCATTAAAAATGTTTTCTAAATCCAGTTCCATCAATCTGTGATTTATATTATATTAGATTTTGGCAAAAATTTGATTACCAGTCTTAGTTTTTAGTATTATTATGATTGTCTCATTTTTTCTGGATTTTATCTAATTATTTTAATGGGGAATTGGTAAAAGTTGCATCAGAAGTCATTTGAAAATTTTATTAGATTTTTTTATGGCATTGTTGCATAAAATCCCTGAGGGATTTGAATGTCATTTACATTCTTCCGTTTTGGTAATTTTTTCTCTGGATGAAGTGTTTACCTCCTTTGATTTTGATTGCAAAATATAATTTTTAAAATGACTAAAAACTATTAAGTATAAAATTTAGAATCTCCAAGCTAAACATTACAGAGAAAGCTTTGGTTCTCATCATTTAATGTATTGGTTTGCTAGGGCTCCCATAACAAAGTACTGCAAACTGAGGGACTTAAACAACAGAAATTTATTGTCTCACAGTTCTGGAGACTGGAAGTCCAAAATCAAGCTGTCAGCATGACTTATTCTTTCTGAGGGCTGTAAGAGAGAATCTGTTCCATATGTCTCACCTAGCTTCTGATGGTTTGCTGGCAATCTTGGGCATTTTTGGCTTGTAGAAGTATCACCCTAACCTCTACATCTATCTTCAGATTGTGTTCTCCCTGTGTGTATGTCTGTGTCTGGATTTTTCCATTTCATAAAGGCACAAGACATATTGAGTTACTGGCCCAAACTTCTCCAGTATAAACCAATCTTAACTAATTTTTACATTTGCAGAAATTCTATTTCCAAGTAAGGCTGCATTCTGAGGTACTGAGTGTGAGGACTCCAACAAGTAAATTTAACTCATAACATTTACTATATAGTAGATCTCAAGAATAAGCATACAACCCCCCAACACTCACCTCGTACCCACACACTTATGGTCACCCTTCTAATGTAAAGGTAATTGGAAAGGACAAATAGGAGGCAGGGGTAAGAAGGAGAAAGAACTGTCACTGAACTCTTGTAATGAGTCAGTTAATATTTAGGGCTTTGAAGCATATTGTATCAAGGAGATAGGCACAAATAAGAAAACTGAGATTCATAGTGATTAAGTTACTTTCCAAGAATCAATTAGAAACTGGATTCAGATGTAGACATGCCTGACCACAAAGCCCAGGCACTTTCCTCTAGGCACTCTCTTTGCTGCTCTGCAAAGACAAATTATTAATAATTATGATACTGATAGTAATAATAACAATAATTCATAGAATGTTTTATTGAAGCAATTTCTTCTTCTAGCAAAAACAACAGAGCAAAAAACAACAATCAGATTAAAGCAATCCATGATATTTCTGACTCAAAGCTTCAATTCTGCCTAAACATTCACAGCAGGACTTTCCTTCCTACAGTTGAATAGAAGTTAATTTCTAAAAGATAAAGGGGAGAAAAGAAACAACAGAACACAATTTAAATGTTTATGCATGTCGGAAATTAAAAACCTATCTTTTTTACATTTGATTTTGAAACCTTTAGCCTGATGATCAAGACAATATCGCCATGAGACTTTTACAACAGCAGTAGCTAATAGTTATTGTGGCCTCCTATGTGCCAAGCACTGTGCCAAATGCTTGTCCTGTATCAACTCACTTAAACCTCACAACGATCCTGTGAGTTCAGGGTAGCATTATCTCCATTTTACAGATAACGAAGCAGAGAAACATAGCCCACCCTCAAAGACTGGTTCTCGAACACTAAGCCCAGCCATTTCTCACTAGATAGAAAACTTAAACCACCAAAGGAGAGTTCTGCGTGACCAAAATTATGTTTTGTAGTCAACTTTTTCAAGTGGAGGAATTGTACTGGTTAGCACAAGGGATTTAGAGTCAGATGGACCTGAATTTGAATCATGGATCTACCTCTGATTAACTACATGACCTCAGGCAAGTTGTTTAGCCTTCTTGGGCCTCATGTATCACTTTAAAAATTAGGGTAAAATAATACTTATCCCAAGGGTTGTTACGAAAGTTAAACGCAAAGCACAATCACAAGTGTACAGAAAAATCGCTATAAAACTTATTATTGTAAAACAGATATAAGATTCTTTTGAATTATATTCAGATACATTTCCATGACTTATATACATCTTGTTACCCGGCATCTTTTCATCCTATAAAGAAAGACGGGTTGCGCATGGTGGCCCACATCTATAATCCCAGCAGTTTGAGTGGCCAAGGCGAGAGGACTACCTGAGGTCAGGAGTTTGAGACCAGCCTGGCTAACATAGTGAAAATCTGTCTCTACTGAAAAATACAAAAATTAGCCAGGTGTGATGGTGTGTGCCTTTAGCCCCAGCTACTCAGGAGGCTGAGGAGAATCGCTTGAACTGGGGAGGTGGAGGTTGCAGTGAGCTGAGATCACACCACTGCACTGCAGTCTGGACGACTGAGAGACTCCATCTAAAAAAATAATAATAATAAATAAAGAAGGAGGTTCAAGTGCTTCAGGAGAAGGATAGCTACCTGTTAGGAGAAGAAGATAGTTGCTTAACTTCTTGTTTGAGGTTGAAGTAAGACAATAAGCTCAAAAGCCAAGTTTTTCTAAGAAAGAAATTTCCTTTAGCTTCTATTAGCATGCAGAGAATTAGGTCTGAATATTTACAATGTCAGTTTCTTCCTCTGAGTAGGGAAGACACTCTTCTGAAACTCTCTTGGCTGATTTTCTGTCTATGCTACAGTGAGGACATTACACAGAAGAAGTAGGGGTTAGAGGAGCCAAAGGCGATTAAAGAAGTCAGATAGCAGAACCCTTATAGTAGCTCTTTCTCCTCAAGATTGGGAGCACCAGGAAGCTCCTCCAGAGAGCAGGTTGAAGGAAGCACGTTTAGAAGCATCCAGAGAGGTAGGAAATGCCCCAAAACATCAGGGCTAATGGTCAGCTTCCCTGGCCTGGGCACAAAATGGGGAAGCTGCAGGCCTCTGGGAAAAGCCTAGTTTGGGGCTAACTGCTACATCTCCATGGCATGAGAGCAAGGGCATGGTGGTGGGAGAAGGCCAAGTCAATCATTCTTAGCAGTGCGCCTGGTCTCCTGGAGCCTCATAGGTGGCTGAAGCCATGCAGAAAAGCAAGCAGAGGCACTGCCAAGGCCAGAGGGCAGCAGAAGCCTAGGGTTAGAGCAAAGAGCAGAGACTCCCACCCCAGAAACTCATAGTAGAAAACACAGATCCCATAATTAGTGCTGGTATGTCTCCCCACAACCTGTGACCATTCTGGCTACATCTTAGTGACCATTGGGCCACAAAGCAATCCAAATCAGCAACTGCATAGCAGAGATTATCAAGGACCTGACAACTGCCTTTCCCCATAGCTAAAGGTAAGCCTGTAGAGCTTCTCTTCCCTTCAGGAGCAGGGAAAAAGAGTAGAACTCTTTCCCGGTAGAAAAAGAGTAGAAAGACAGAAAATTTACCTGAGGCATCTAGGCAGAAATTGCAGAGATCATAGATCAGACTGACATTATTGGATTATATCAAAATATAGTGTATTTTCTCCTGCTACTTGATGGGTTGGTTTTCCTGGGGTAGAACAGAGGAGAAATAGGAAATAATGATGTAGAGTTCTTTTGCACAGCTTACCTCATGTAAAGGCCTGTGTGGAATAATTAGAAACAAATGTGTAACATGTATTTACACCTAGGGCTGGTTATAATCCTGGCTAAAATTAAAACACAAAGTTGTCTTGAGAGCAGGACCACAAAACTATGAGAAAGATTAAGGGGTTAAGATTGTCATACAGAAATGCAGAGAGACAGAAACAGTGACTGCAGTTTCTGGCATTCCGAATAGGCTTTTTGAATACGCAATAAGATAACAGACTTGGAAATCAGACTTCTTTGAGAAAGAAAAAGATTTCTGAAATTTAACACCTAATTTCATTATATCAAGAGACAGACTTGTCAATTAGATCAGAGAATTTTACTCTATGTCCAGGATGAAGAAGAGAAAAGAGGTGAAGAGAAACTGAAAGGCTACTCCCTTCCGACGTGAGGAATTTAGAGAATACTAAGAAAGAGAGAGAGGTAGAAATCAAGGAGGTGAGAGGCCAGGGTCCCTGTCCTGTCCTCGTTCAATGACAGGCTCTGAGAAGAGGTTAGGGATTGCTTTTAAAATTACCCAAATGGGAAAAGGAGGACAAGAGCACTGGGAATAGTGCCATACATCCTTTGAACAGAGGAAGACTTTGTCTTCCAAAGAAGAGTGTTTGGAAACAGCCTTCAAAGTTAGCTCCTCACAATGTGTAGGGATGGTATGAAGGCAGTGGCAGAAGACAGGTGAATTGATGAGTTTTGTGAGTTGGCTTTTTGAGACAGAGTTTGGGTGTAATACCTGTGAAAAAAAGAGGGAGGAAGCAGGACTGGTCAAGGGGCGAAGTTGAACTGTGATGCAATCCAACAAAGCCTCAGCTAACCCGAAGAGAAATTCTGGAGTAAGAATGACTCATCGGTATTGTGTTGCAATCTGCTGAATTGGCAAAGCCTTTCTACCCCACCTTACTCAGTTACCAGATAAGGGTTGCCCTGCCATTGTTCCAGCCACTGTACATCTGAAGCCATGAGGTCAGAGCCCTACATAGATTTGGGGACACCCATCTTGACGCATAAACCCTGCCTATACTACTCCCCAACCCTAGACATCATCTTGGAGAGAAGCAAAAAAAGAGCACTGAAACATTTAGCATTTACGTGAGTTACTGTCCAGAGATTGAACTCCCTAAATAGACTTTAAATGATTGGACCAGACCAAGGTTCCACACTTAGCCTAAAACTTGGTTTTTAGTTTTCTGTTATCCAGCAGGCTAAGGAAATATCAGGGAGAGAACATCAATTAAGAGGTACTCAAGGAAACTACATCTGCTTTGCACATTTGTATAGAGTACGAGGGACATTTTGCACTTGCTACATTACCAAAGAGAAACACATACCAAAAGTTAATTTAACAAGAATTCCAGACTCAGAGGACAAAAATGAGATTGAAGGAGGGCTCAATATTCTGTTTCCTGAGAATATTCATTAAGCAATTGCTAGGTTTTGTTGCTGAACAGTGTAATTTTTCATTCTAGTTAATTTCCTTTGAGAAGTTCTGAAATACTAGGACCTTACTTGTTCTCACTGGCCATAGAATTACATGTTAAGCAAAGCCCAAGATTTAGTAACGTACAAATCATTCTGGCTTCCCGCTACTGTGAGAAACTACACTCAGCAAAAAAATAAAATAAAAATAAAAAATGGTTATAGTTTATCTAGTTCCCTGTGAATAATACAAACACCAAAGTCTCTGGCAGTCAGAGATAGAAGAAAATTAAATTCACGTAAAACTCTTCATCAGCTTAGTTTGGCTAGATATGAAATTCTGGGTTGAAAATTCTTTTCTTTAAGAATGTTGAATATTGGCCCCCACTCTCTTCTGGCTTGGAGAGTTTCTGCCGAGAGATTAGCTGTTAGTCTGATGGGCTTCCCTTTGTGGGTAACCCGACCTTTCTCTCTGGCTGCCCTTAACATTTTCTCCTTCATTTCAACTTCGGTGAATCTGACAATTATGTATCTTGGAGTTGCTCTTCTCGAGGAGTATCTTTGTGGCGTTCTCTGTGCTTCCTGAATTTGAATGTTGGCCTTCCTTTCTAGGTTGGGGAAGTTCTCCTGGATAATATCCTGCAGAGTGTTTTCCAACTTGGTTCCATTCTCCCCAGTTGGTACACATCTGGTGTACATCTGGTACACCAATCAGATGTAGATTTGGTCTTTTCACATAGTCCCATATTTCTTGGAGGCTTTGTTAGTTTCTTTTTATTCTTTTTTCTCTAAACTTCTCTTCTCGCTTCATTTCATTCATTTGATCTTCAATCACTGATACCCTTTCTTCCAGCTGATCGAATCAGCTACTGAAACTTGTAGGGACATGGATGAAGCCGGAAACCATCATTCTCAGCAAACTATCACAAGGACAAAAAACCAAACACCGCATGTTCTCACTCATAGGTGGGAATTGAACAATGAGAGCACTTGGGCACAGGAAGGGGAACATCACACACCGGGGCCTGTTGTGGGGTGGGGGGAGGGGGGAGGGATAGCATTAGGAGATATACCTAATGTAAATGATGAATTAATGGGTGCAGCACACCAACATGGCACATGTATACATATGTAACAAACCTGCACCTTGTGCACATGTACCCTAGAACTTAAAGTATAATAAAAAATATATATATAAAAAATAATAAAAAACTCTTCATCAGCAAGTAAAAACCAAAAGCAACACAATTGTAACTGTGAGATCAAAGAATAGTGAGATGTGAGAGGCAGGCCATCTACTGTCAGCAGCCCCAGACTCCCCTCAGAATCGACGGACAGAACTTCAGATGAGAGAATCCTGAACTGCCCTGGGCTTTGCCAGCCCTTTGAGAGGGAAGTGACAGATGACAAAGTCAAAGCCTGGGAGAACTGAGAACCTAATTCAGTTTAAACTTACCCAGGCCCTTCTCTCTATTTAAAAGGATCGTGTTCACCATGGCCACAAAAGTCTAACTCTGGAATAAGTTGTAGCTCCATTTCTGAAACAAATTTTTTTGACAATAGAATGGAACTTAGAGGATTCATTATGCAATATTATCATATGTGCTCACAGGTATGCCAACATACGTTTCCAAGCTGCTTAAATTGTCTGCCAATGAGCCCCCCTTTTTCATCCCCCAGGGCTTCATCAAGTTGCACATATGATTGATTTTATAATAATAATAATAACATTTAATGAGCATTTGTTACATGTCAGGCACTGTACTAAGTGATCTTCAGTCTTCTTTTAATCCCTTCTTTCATGAAACAAGCATCATTATTATGTTATCTTGAAGAATGTGAGGGTCAGAGAGCTTAAGCAAATTTCCCAAAGTCACACATTTAGGATATAACTGAGTGAAAACTCAGAAAGGATTCCCAAGTGAGGAAAAACTCCCAAAGATGGCAAAACTGGCCTAATTTTGTTTATAGAATTATGTGGTATTGCCTTAGCTTGGGTTACCCAGAAAACAGAGCCTGAGACAATGAGCTTATGGTATAATACTTCTACTCTATTAGGAGATGCATTTCCAGGTATGAGAAAACAACGGGAGAGAAGGAGGAAAGGGGAAGCCAATATGAGACCACATGATCAAGTGTGAAGCTACTGAGACTTACTGAAAAAAATCACAGGATCGTCCAGCAAGAAGTCACATAAACTGCATCTCAAAAAAGTCCATCTAGAGGGAGAAAAGGGGAAGAACTTATGTACCAGCTGACTTTTTAAAATCAAAAGTTTACCTCATGGGATACTAACTCCCTGCCCTTCAGGGTTTCACATGTGTAGGCCATAAGCAGCATCTGTGGCTTCCATATCTTAGCACTAACACCTCCCTAGGGTGGGAGGTGAGAGGCGTATGGTGCAGCTTGGGGTGAGATATACGTATGTAAAGCCACTGGGAGCCAATATAGAACTGATGGTGTTAGTGGTATCGAAACAGGAAATGGGTGAGGCTGAGGCCTCAGAGGTGTCAGACATGAGTCCTTCTTTTCTGCAGGACAGAAAGGAGCCACACAGTTCTAGCATGTTACAAGTAGTTGGGATGCCTATTAAAGGCTAAGATGCAGCAGCTTAGCTTGCAGTCCTACATAGGCACTGAAGTAAGTTCTCATGCCCTAGTCCAGAAAGCAGAGTCTTCAGGCACTTTGGACAAGCAGCAATTACAAAGCACAAAAAGGGGAGAAATATGAAAATGTTCACTTAGTCATTCATTCTTCCAAGAAAGTCAACCAGCAGGTTCAACCAGTTCTTAGAGGTTCCCAGGAAATACACCTTCTTTCCTGGAGCAGGAGTTGTAACCTCCTCCGGTGTGGTTTCATCTGGGTAAAGATCATTGAACTGCATACAATGGCACAGAGTGCCATTGCATAGAGTCTGATAGAGCATCTTGCTCCTATGCAATGGCATCAGAAAGCAAAATCCCCTTTGTTTTGCATTCACGAAATAGTTTAGAATTAAAATACAGTTAAAATTAAAATTCAGGGCTTCAGTTAAAATTAGTAATAAAAGCCCTTGGTGGGTACTCACCATAGGCCTGCAAATAATCCCTGTCATTCTAAAGAAAGTGGACTCTGATAAGGAAGGTACTTCTGATTGCTAGAGCCTAGGCCATCTGACTATATCCTAGCTGCAAAGGCAGCTGGAAAATTAGCTGTCATTTTCAACTAATATAGTGGGTGTCAATCTCTGCCTCATAAAGTCGAAAAATTACCCAAACATAGGAAGAGGGTTCAGATTCTAGGTGGTCAAAAAGAATGTCAGATGTCCATTTTTGACCCCACATCCTTTCGTGCTAACTAGTTTATTGCCTGATACCAATGTTTTTCTTGTAGTGAGGCCCCTGATATCTACTGCTAGATTTCCTTGACAGCAAGGTCAAAAGAACAGTCATGCCAGATATAACCTCGGAGGTCTACCCAACACACCTTGCCTGGCCTTTCTTGGTTTGTTTTGTTCAACAGTTGCCCAAGCCCAGAATCTGGTACTCTGCATGACAAATCAGCAAATAAACCTGCCACCTGGAATCTGAGCTTTGGAACTACTACTATAAACAGCCATATACACATCATAACCCAAAGCCCCATAGAGTGTAATGCTGACTTTATTATAATGTGGGACACATGGATTATACCCCTTGCTCTCACATTAAACTGCTGTATGGCTTTGTGGAAGTGACTTAGCCACTTTGTATTTGGTTTCCTATTTTGTAAAAAAAAAAAAATTTTTTTTAAAGAAAGAAGAAAAAAGCCATTGCATTCAGCACAGGGGAAAGAAACCACTAATGCACAGAATGCTAATAATGTACAAGGAGGTTTACTTTCAGTTGTTGCAGCAAACCTGCAAGACAGGTGCTCTATCCTCATCTTGCTGATGAAGGAACTGAGACAGAGGGGTCATGTTTTCCCAAAAGTCATAGAGTTAACAAGCTGCTGAGGCCAGGGTTTGAGCCAGTTTCAGCCAGCCTCAAAGCCCTTGCTCTTTCCATGTTTCTTTTTTGAAAACAAATGTTGAATTACACAAACAGCAAGAGTATATTATCTGTAAAAAATTTAAATGTTTCTGAAAGGCTAATGTCTCCTTGGAATACTACCCCCTTGCCCCAACAAACTTTCTCAAGTGACAATAAATAGCCACTTATAATTTTAGTGTATATACTTCAAGTTTTTCTATGTGTTTATATACATGTAACCTAGAAAGCATATATAAGCACATATAGAAGTAATATAATGTTACTTATACAAGTGTGTATATTTTTGTATGAAAATAATGTCATTTTGAAGATATCTTTATGCAGCCTGCTTTTCATTTGACAATAGGTTTTGGAGCTCTAGCTATGTCAGTACACAGCGAGCAATCTCATTCCTTTTAGCTGGTGCATAGTATTTCGTAGCATAGAAATATAAGTTTATTTAACTATTTCCCTCCTGATGGATACTCAATTTGTTTGCTCTTAGCACATATTTCTATTCCAACATTGTGCTTTTTCTCCAGCTTCCAGAGATTAGTTCTGTAACCTCTTTTAGCTCAAAAATTCTATGGCATGAAGGAAATGAAGCATGATTAAGTCTGAAGACATAATAATTCACTCTAGATAACTCATTTATTAAGCAGTGATATAGCACCAAATTGTGAAATATACACCACCATTAAAAACACAGTGCCAAATAAACAAAACAAAAAGATCCAAACAGGTTCAGGCAGACAAATGTCTCTCTGGTAACAAGATTCTAGTTTGTGTTCACTTAAGTATGTGACTCAAAGCTCTGTGTGGATATTCTTGATTACAGCAATTTGTTTTATAATAGTTGAGATTTAACATGGCATCATGCAATGTGCTGATGCTACATGTATTATTTAACCCTAATGATAATCCTTTAGAGCACATTATTACCTTTTGTATTGCTAAAGCAACTAGGGCTTAGAGAGGCCAAGAAATTTTGACCGAGATTACAAACTAGTGGCAAGACCAAGTTTCAAACTCAAGTTGTCTGACTCCAAAAGTCCCTCTTCTTTCCACTGTCTGTCATCAATCCTTTTAACCTGGGTTAGTGCAGAAGGACCTGATGATAAAGAACAAATTCTCACCTGATGCAAAACCTCTCAACATCTGCTCATTTTTTCAGTTCATTTTTCACTTCCTTCCCTGTCCTGAACCTGGCCCTAAATTACTTATAATTCACCAATAACACATTGCTGTGAACTTTTGCAAGCACTGTTTGCCTTTTCTGGAACATTATTCTATTGTCTGTCTGGGCAATCCAGACTTATCTTTCAGCGCAAGCATCATTTTCTCCAGAAAGCCTTTGCTGTACCATCCCCACCCTCACACCTGCCCAAAATTGGGTTAGGGATCCTCCATATTTTCCCATAGTGCTTTGTGTTACTTTCCCTAAAGCATTAAACATCACAAATTGTAAATATTTGTTACTTTCTTGTTTCCCTATACTACACAATGAGCTCCCTGAGAACAGGAGCCACAGCTTATCCGTAATGCATCTCTAGCCCTAGCATAGCGTCTAACACACAGTAGCCACTTGATAAATGTTTCATGAATAAATGAATCTTAGACTAATGGCAGAAATGAACCTGGAAGTAGACTCTTTAGCTCCATACGTGGTGATTGCTCAAGACAGTCACCTCAGTCGCCCCATTGCCAACCTGTTGCCCTCCAAACTCCTCACTTCCCACGATTGCAGGAGTTGTTCTCTGTATGATAACTTAAGAAGATTGTGGCACATGTGGGAAATTTTGGAGACAAAGTCTCTAAAGACAAAACAGTCACCGTTTATGTGGAGATTTATTTTATCTGTGAAAGATGGGGCATTTCTTTATCCCACATGAAGCAGGTAGGTTAAAATGCTAAGAAAGAAAAGGGAGCTGAATTTTACTGAGAAAAAAATAAACTGATGGTAGGAGAAAAATAATGAAGGTCTCCTATGAAATGACAAGGAAAATTTATCATTCAGTAGATTTAAAGAACAAAAATCAAAAGATCCAAACCAGAATGTGTGAAGCATAAAGAGATTTTGCAGATGATAAATTGCTCTACTGTACACATTTTTCTCTTTTCAGTTACAGATTATTTGATGAAAAGAATTCGTTTATTCCAAGTTTGCCAACATAGTTTTTGTTTTAACAGTTCAAGGAATGTATCAATTTTTCCCTAATGGTCTTTGAAGCCTCAAGATATGGAAATTTGGTATTCTAGGTAATGTCTAAAAAGTGTTCATGGAACTGAAACATTCAACTTGTGTTTACTAAATATTAGGAAGAAAACAACAGCATCAGAAAGAAATTAACATATATTTCAGAATGGGCTGACATCTCTCACTGATTATCCAATTATGGTACTATTATTAAAAATAAAAGATAGTAATAATTATAGTTACTATTTACTTAGTGCTAAGCACTCTTTATAGGCTAGGCACTGTGCTAGATTCTGACAATGCAGTAGAAAGCAAAACAGATATTCCTAGCCCCTGGATAGGTAGACATTAAACAGATAATTAGAAGATATGTATATAATTATAAAGGTTAGCAAGAAGAGAGGGTTTTAAAGAAAGAATAACAGAGGAGATCTATTTTACACAGGTAGTCAAGGAAGGTCTTTTTGAGGAAGTAATATTTAAACTGGGACTTGAAGAATGATAAGAGGTGAATAGTGGTGGGAAAAGAATTATAGAAAGAGGACATGGAATATATGAATATCCTGACATTGGAAAGAGCTTGGCATTTTCAAGGAACTGAAAGGAAGGCCTACTTATCAGATGTTTTCCTTTTGGCCCGCAGATCCTGTCCTGCCCGTCCCTGCTCCTGGTAGGCTGGTGTGATTGGGGCCTGACTCAACCTGCAGGAGTGAGGTGGCTTTGCTATGTTTGGCCAATAGAAAGGACTGGTAGGAGATCAGAAGGTGGGTAAAAGGAGGAAGCTAGAAGATTCCTCCCAGTTTTCATTCTGGGTAAGGAGCGCCTCTCCAGCAGTGGTGCTCTCTCCTCTGCGGCTTTAGAGATTTTTGGCTTTGGAGAGAACATAGTGCTAACCCCCTTCTTTATTTTGATCTTAGGATAATTGGCTGGGACAAGATCCTTATTGTTTAATGACACCTCTGTGTATCACAGGGGTGTGATTGTGGTTACAATTCACCTGGTCTATTCTTTTCTAAAGGATCATAAATTGATAAGAAACAGAGAAGCTAACAAAACACTCACACATAAAAGCCCCATCCTTTTATTTTCTCCCTAACAGAGAAACATTTTAAAAAAAACTCTCTGACCCATTTCTGGAACAGCTTGCAAAACGATCAAAGTTTTGGTCAGGGCAGCCAAGGTTTTTAACAGTGACTCACGTGATCAGAAATCCACGTGGATGCAGCTGCCTGAATTTTTGTGTGTGTGTGGTGAATGATAGTAAGTGGAGAAGTCTACCCCAGGCATAGGAAAGTTGCACATGATATACAGTGAGTTGAGTGTATGATACTTATATATTTATAGTAATAGCTACCATTAACTGGGCACTAATTCTATCCCAGCCTCTGTACTAAATACTTGACATATAATGTTAAATCATCATGGTAGATTAAAATTACCTTCAGCAATGTTAGTATTATTGTCTCCATTCTAGAGAGAAGCAACTGAGGTTTGGGATATTAAGAAACTTATTTAAGATCAAAGAGATGGTAAATTGATACAAATTCACATCCGGCCGACTTTAAAATCCATGACACAATACTACGCTATAGTGTCTTCTCTTTGTCAGTAATCTCATAGTAGCTCAGTTTCACGGTGGAATTAAATATTACAAAACTATGATTTGAATTATATTCAGATTTAAGTATCTTTAGTATTTCAGCCAAGACTGCTAATATGTGACTGGTGGCAATGAGGTAGGAGCAAGAAGGCTGTTAGATACTACTGGAGTCTGCATTTATTGGGGAAATGAAATAAATCTTCGATTTTTTGAATTGTTGTTGCTTTTTAAATACAAATTCTAGATGCATTGCACTGGCCCCCCAGACAGTGATGGAGGCCGATGATGCATCCTCTTTCAGTTACATGATCAATGTATCAATGTATTCTTTATCTCAGAAAGCAGGCATGAGGGTATCTGGTGCTAATTCCAACTAACTACTGTGTTTTTCTTGAGTGCTGTGCAAAAAATCTTCTGGGTTGGGGGGTGAGTCAGCAGAAAAGGGTGCTTTGATGTTTTCCATGACGCTGGGAGTACAGTGGATACATGAGGAGCTTTATGCTTGCCATCCCTGCCTTAGCAACCCATTGCTGGTATTGCAAAAAATGCTTTGAGTTTCTCTCTTCTACTGGACTTCCCAGGACAATTCCTAAAACCCTTACAGATTAATTAAGGGTTAAAGGCTTAAGTCATTATAATACATCATACCAAATATATGGTTAACAAAAATAATAATAATAATAATAATGAAATCTTATTTTCTTTTTGTTCTTGACATGTAAAATAGGAAGAAGAAACCAGGGGAGTTTGATCATGTCTGCTGAGGGAACATACACAGGATGAGTGGCCTGACACCACACACACTAGACCTGGAATGATATTTATCCATAGACGCTTACAGAGGCAGGAAGAGGAGCTGGTGGACAGTTCCTCCTTTGCCTATCATTCTCTGGGATAGCGCAAAATGATCTAGCAGAGTGTTCAGTCCAAGCTCTGTGGGTTAATAAGCTGCATGTTTAGGGAAGTGCCAGCAAGTCCTCTGGTATGATGAGGACCTGGGTCCCAGCCTTGTTGGACTTCCCTTCTTCTGCCATCTCAGCATTCCCGGTCTGGGCTTCCTCCCAGTCACAGAGCCTCCCTGCTATGAACAGGCGCTCAGACACAGGTCTTGCAGTTTGAGGTGTATGATACATGGGACCTTGGCCTTCAGCCTTGTTCCTCCACCTCAGTGTTCTCCCAGGATGTTTGCCAAATATTCCCACCCTGCAGGAAGCCAACTCTCACTCTGGGAGGACTGCCAGGGGTTAGTGTCAGATAAATTAACCTTTACTTCTCACTGCAGTGTAAACTTAAAGACCTATGAGGACCAGCTGAAATTGAGAGTATCTTGTCAAAATGTGTTTGGCTATGTCTTTGCCAACACATTTGTCTTGGCCTATTGTATTTGTATCGTTAGCCCATTGAACAAAAATATCAATCAAAAATCTTCATTTCATAGTTCAGAGTCATTCTCTCAAACCCATCTTCTGTATTAATTCTTGGTAATATCTTTATATTCAAATATGATTTTTCCAATAGCCTTATCTTTCAGTCACTTTAAATTCCATTCCTTCAAGGATTTTGTCCCTTATCCTCCTTCAGCCACCCATTCCTATCACCACATTGTAATCTTATTTCTTAGGATCAATAATTGCTACTCCTTCATTATCTCCATTTCACTCTCTCATCTATTGTCTTTTCCCTGTAATGTTCAACTTCAATAAGACTTTGACCTTATCTGGACTTCTAGTCTATTGATCATAGTACCTTTCCCTTTTCCCTCACCTGCCTTTCAGTTCTCTTCTTTTCCAGTTTAAAATCTGTGACAAACACTATCCTCATTTCTGCGTATGGACTCTTGATTCCTTTGCCTTTCTTTCACTTTGTATTAACTTGGCAAAAAACAACCCTGTTTAAATCTAACTCTCCGCCTCCTCTGCACAGCATCTGGCTGAAAGAAAACACAGTTCTCACCGATGAGTCCCACTTTAAATTTGTGACTATAAATAACAAATGGCCTGACTGCTGCCTGGCAATCTCGCTGTACTTCTCTGGTCCATTTACCGTTCGATTTTCCTAAACAAATATTTTCCACCTTCTCCTCTCTCCTCAAACCCTCAGCAAAACTTTTTCTCCTTCCTTGTTCTCAGATAATTTCCTTCCTTCCTTCCTTCCTTCCTTCCTTCCTTCTTCTTCCTTAAGAAAATTGAAGCACTCAGAAGAGCAGTTCTTCAGACCTTCACTACACCTGTCCCCCACAGCAGCATCTGCAGCTGTATACACTGCTTTCCTGCCTCTTACTAGAGATGACAATCCATGCACCTAAGGCCCATACCTCCACGTACGTATTGAATCCAGTCCTTTTTACACATATGCAAAGACATCACTCAACAATTTTTTTTTTTTTTTTTTTTTTTTGAGACTGAGTCTCGCTCTGTCGCCCAGGCTGGAGTGCAGTGGCGCTATCTCGGCTCACTGCAAGCTCCGCCTTCCGGGTTCACGCCATTCTCCTGCCTCAGCCTTCCGAGTAGCTGGGACTACAGGCGCCCGCCACGACGCCCGGCTAATTTTTGTATTTTTAGTAAAGACGGGGTTTCACCGTGTTAGCCAGGATGGTCTCGATCTCCTGACCTCGTGATCTGCCCGCCTCGGCCTTCCAAAGTGCTGGTATTACAGGCGTGAGCCACTGCGCCCGGTCAATCACTCAGTAATTTTTTCTCCTTTTCCTAAAGCATTATTATTTTTTTCCTTACTGGACTACTCCCATAAGCCCCTAAACATTGTATTTTTCTCTCATTAAAAACAAACTTTGAGCAGGTGCAGTGGCTCACGCCTGTAATCCCAGCACTTTGGGAGGCCGTGGGAGGCCGAGGCAGGCCGATGATTTGAGGTCAGGAGTTCGAGATAAGCCTGACCAACATAGTGAAACCTCATCTCTATTAAAAAAAAAAAAATAGCTGGGCGTGGTGGCACATGCCGGTAGTCCCAGCTACTCGGGAGGCTGAGGAAGGAGAATCGCTTGAACCCGGGAGGCGGAGGTTGCAGTGAGCTGAGATTGCACCACTGCACTCCAGCCTGGGCAACAGAGTGAGACTCTGTCTCAAAAACAAAACAAAACAAAACAACAACAAAAAAACTTTTTTAGTTCCAGTTCTTCCTGCAGCTACTGTTTCATTTCTTTGCAATTTTCAGCAACAAAATTCCTCAAAAGCCTTGCCTATACTTGCTCTCCGCAACTCCTCTTCTCCGCTTCTCTTGAATAACCCACGGTAGTCAGGCTTTTGTCCCTGTAATTCCACGGAAACTGCTCTTATCAACTTCACCAATAACTTTTACATCACTAAATTCAGGTGTTCTCAGGAGCATTCGGTATAGTTGTCCTCACTCTTCTCCCTGATAGACCTCCTTCGTAGCTAATTTTTTTTTTTTCTTTTTAGTAGAGACAGGGTTTCGCCATGTTCTCCAGGCTGGTCTCGAATTCCTGACCTCAGGTGATCCACTCACCTCGGCCTCCCAAGGAGCTGGGATGATAGGCATGAGTCACCCCTGCGCCTGGCCCAAAAATCAGCCTTTAAAATTTTTATTTCTATATTGTAAATTTTGTTAGGGCAGTGATTTTTGTCTCTTTTATGCACTGATATATCCCTGGTACTCATAGGCCTAAAACATGGTAGACACTCAATATAAATTTGTCAATTAAATTAATATAGTGTAAAAATTAACAGCCCAGATCTGTAGTCATTGCCTGGGTTTGAATCCTGGCTTCACTACTTATTGGATATGTTACCACATCTCTGAGTTAATTTCCCTAGTCTCAGTTTTCTTTTTCATCAGTAAACTGCTGTTGCAATAGTATCTATCTCATAAAGTTATGAAGATTATATAAGATAAATAACCCATAAGAAGGACTTAGTGGAGTACCAGACGCATAGGAGATTCTTGATATATTTTTATCCTTACTATTATTTCTCTGCCTAATTGTTCTTAGTAATAATACAAAAAATAATAGTAATGATACCAAACTGCTCCTCCAAATACCAGAAATATTTATAGAGTTTCAGCTGTTGCTTTGAGATAGAGATTTTTAAAATATGTTATGTAATATTTTATATGTATATATGTTATATTATGAAGGCTTGATTGAGAATATGTACAAGATTTAGTCAAATACCTTCCAAAATCTATTGAGAAATGAGTTATGTCATTTCTCTTTTAACCATTTAATAGAGTAAATTATATCAATTATATCCATATAGTTTTTAATATTGAAAAATTATGTTACTCAAGCATTAGGAACCCAAATGGCATTTTTAGGACTAAAGACTTTTTAAAATATGCTTATCACAAAAACACATTTTTTATACACTTCCTTTTAAAAATAATCAGTAAGTTCTCACAATACGTAATCCTTGAACTGACCTAATCTGGGAGATTTCAGTGCTCTGAAGCTGATTCACAGTTTATCCATTTGAAAAATATGACGTTATCCCAAAATTCCTCTGAAAGAGGAGCTTTCTAGAAGCAGAGCTTTGGACTTTCTGCATTTCAACCACCAGAGCACTGGCTATAGAGCTGATTCTTTGTCCCAAGTTTCATAAATCCTTCTCTTGCTGTACAGGCCTTTCCTCTTTAGCAGTTTTACCTCCTGGCTCATTTTTTCCACTTTCCAACTCAAGCTGCCAATGCCAGCCCACCCATTTTATGAAAACATTAATGCTAAAGGAATTAACATTTATTGTATACAGAGGCTATTAAAATTTCTTCTTGTTTATTTGTGTTCTGGCTGCTAAAAGAAACAACTCAAAGAGCCACATTTTCACTAACAAATTTGCGAATTTATTTATATGAATTTTCTCATAGAAACAAAAATTAAATCATGTTATTGGACTTTTAATAAATTGCTTTCTCAAAAAGTAAATTACATGAAATTAAGGATTATCTCAGGAAATTTCTAATCCTTTAAGTTTAAAATGTGCTTTTTCAATTCATTTCTCGTTTAATCTCTATGGATAAACTGGCCTTTTATATTTTTGACTACATTTATTTTATTATTCTGTGAATATAATATTTCCCACTGTCCTTGGATTTAGGATGGCAAGGATTATTCTTTTTTCCCATAGATTCTCTTACATTTATGAGTTTTTTTCACCTGGATGCAGTGGATGTCTGATCTTTGTGTATACTTTCCTGGTTCTTTAAATGTGCATTCCAGGACCCAAGACTCCCCCATATTTTTGAAGCCAGAGTTCTAAACCTGTTAGGTGATAACTCTGAGGACTAGCATATTATTTCACCAGAACCTCACAACCTGTAACTCTTACTCCCTAACTGCTAGGGGCATTGTCTGAAACTGACAGTGTTTTCTCCTCACTGGTGTCTCTAGCTAATCTAAGGCTACACTCTGGAAACCAGCAATAACAGCTGGGCGGTTTATTGGTTTGTATATCTGCTTTGGAAGTGTTCTCTGGCGCCATATATCTGGGCCAGTTATTTTCAAACATTTATTAATGTGTTAAGGCAGTGTCAGACTACCTTCATATATAATCTTACATGGTAGCCCCAAAAGTAAACTAGATAAAAAGGTTATTGCTCTGGTTGATGCAGGGATGGGGACTGGAGACCTGGCTGCTCAGTGCACCACTTACCCTGCTCCTTTGCCTGAAACAGCACACTCAGAACCTTGTTGGAAGCTTTAGTGCGAAGGTCTGAAGTGAGTAGAGTCACAAATGCTAGACCTTAGGTTAAATGATTCTGTTAATGTATTTGCTTGGTCTGCACAGTGTTGCTTTTTTGCTGCATTTTTTCCCCCAGCATTTTTATTTTCAAAAGAACCACACTTCTCTCTTTCAGCTGCTTAACTTGATATTTACCTTCATACTTGTAAACATTGTGTTTACTACTGTTTTGGATTTGTTGGTGTTAGACACACTCTATCAACTTCCTGCCATGGAAGATGAAGAGTAAGCTCTCTTCCTTCTCCTTCCCAAATATCCTCCTCCTATCTTCACAGCATAACTATATGAAAACATTATTTGTTTAACCAATATTTAGTGTTTCCCTTATTTTGATAATGTAAATATCACACACTTCTGAGTCAAGTAGTACATCAGTTTTAGTACAACTTTTAATTTTTTTAAGTTAATAAGTGTCATAAATTCATTTGCTTTTTTTGGTACCTTCATTTTTTCTATACATTCGAGTATCTTTTACATACTTGAATATATAATGTTTCAAACACTCAAACATGTCAAAAAATATCAGTTCCATTCAAGTTCTTCCTCCTTCTGCCTGTCTGGACTACCTGCTCTTTAGGCCTGCTGCTCAGCTAATGTCACAAGCCTTTCATTCCTTCATTTGGGATTACTGTGTTCCTAGATGCCAAGTTTTCTTCTTTCTTAGTTTATTTCCTCTTTTTTCTGGAGCACATACTCTGATCAGCCTCCTGCAAAATGATGCATGGAAGGTAAATACTGAATGTTTGCTGTCTGCAAATGACGTGTTTTACCCTCACACCCGATTGAATATAGAATTCTAGCTTGGAAATAATTTTCTTCAGTAACTTCAAGACATTGTTCTGCTGTCTTCTAGTTTTATCTTTTCATAAGGATGCGTACTGCTGTGTGTCTTTTTACATTTCTTGCACTGGATGTTCAGTTGGCCCTTTCAATCTGGAAACTCGAGTTACTTCAGTCCTGGGAAATGTTCTTATAGTCTATACTGTATTTTTGCAGCAAGACATTTAAAGAATTAATTGATTTTTTAAAAAGAATTAGTTGAGCCAGCCGGGTGCGGTGGCTCACGCCTGTAATCCCAGCACTTTAGGAGGCCCAGGCGGGCGGATCATGAGGTCAGGAGATTGAGACCATCCTGGCTAACATGGTGAAACCCCGTCTCTACTGAAAATACAAAAAAATTAGCCGGGCACGGTGGCGGGCTCCTGTAGTCCCAGCTACTCGGAAGGCTGAGGCAGGAGAATGGTGTGAATCTGGGAGGCGGAGCTTGCAGTGAGCCGAGATTGTGCCACTGCACTCCAGCCTGGGCGACAGAGCCAGACTCCGTCTCAAAAAAAAAAACAAAACAAAAAAGAATTAGTTGAATGCTGCAGAAGAACACAGAATGAAGACAAGTTAGAGGACTGATTACATTTTATAGTAACAACAACGATTATGAATAGGTAGAATCAGCAAATTAAAATATTAATAAATTTCCTGAAGTGGTCCAAACTTCAAATGTTTTGAATATTTAATTTTTGAAAAGAATCCACCTGTGGAATTATATACTGTGCTATTAGGAGTTAGCCAACTCTCTCCTGGCCTGATTTTTCCTTGTGCAAAAGGTCTGCTAAAGTAATTATCCTGGCCTCTCTTTTTACTTGCTCTCTTAGGAGAAAAAATTGATTATGTGATTGGCAAATTTTATGAGAAGGAACTGAGCATGCTCAGCTCTGTGCTTTCTGACATCTCTATTTGCATTCAGCCTATCCACAGAGGTATGCATTCCAATTTTTTTCCTTCCATATATTTAGGAGCTTGTTCCTGTGGGGAAGGCCTATTGTTGTCTATCATGCTTGTGACTAGGTGTGTACATTGTTTAGTTAAGAGGAACATATTAGAAACTTCATTATAATCATGCATCCTGTGTTTTCCAATATCTGTTCAATAATAAAAATAATGTTTGATTTCCATGTAAGTGACTTTTATGTCTATTCTCAATTGGCTCTGAAATCATGAAAGAAAAAAAAATTATCATCCTTTAAAATCCCAGCATGTAGGTTACTACGCAAAGCATGCATTTGTGTGTGTGTGTGTGTGTGTGTGTGTGTGTGTTGTGTGTATAATGGTAGAGGATTATTTACAGAAAACCATGGGTAGTTTAAGGAATTCAAGAGCAGTTCTGAGACTGCTTGGTTTTCCCTTTCTCACTGACTTTGAAACCAAATGCCCACATCATTTGTAAAACTACGACATATTTTTCCCAGCAACCACTGAAAATAGTGAACCTTACATTTGCCAGTGTATTCTCACAGCCTTGTTGAGTGCATCCTGTCAAAGCTAGAAGTGACCTTTTTCATTAATAACATAGAGAACATCTGAAGAGGTTCTCACTGTTTGTGATGAATTCCCACAGAATTCAGTTTAATGAAGACATTCATCTCAATGCACTTGTGTGGCAGTCACATATCTCTAAAATAATAGCTGAGTCCCTGCTATTAATCCAAACAGGATTCAGGTGTACCAAACTTTTAAAATATCATGTTTGTTAAAAGGGTTTATGACTCCATTACCTTTTCGGTTTGACAAGCTTTACCCTATAACAAATATGTAGATATTCCCAGCCCTTGCAGATACACTACCTGAACAGATCATAAAATGGAAAAAAAAAATGCTGTCACACTTTTTCTCAGGCCAAAAATAGTCTTTTTAGTCATCCATTTAATTCATTCATTTGTGCACTTATTCAGATACTGTATGTTTATTATGGTCAAGCACTATGCTATATACTTAGGAAATAAAGAGGTCATTATGGAGTAGGTTGACAGAAAATAATTGCCAAGTATTATAGCATAATATAAGTTGTATAAAGACATGTACAAATTACTTTGGGAAGAGAAAAGAGCGGGATGATTTTCTTCAGCCAGATGAGCCTGGAAAGGTTTCCAAAAATGGTGAATTGCTATATCATCTTGAGCTTTGCAATCTCATAATTAAATATTCATGTCAATTATATTTTGACCAAAGGGCAATGATATAAACAGATACTCTAGTGAAGATTTGTATAAGACTTTGATCATGTTGAATTTGTCTGTATTAAGTATCATGATAAACATAATGAATAAAAAGAGTTATCAAAAAACAGTGGGGAACAGGAGTAAGACTGTATTTTATTCCATTTAATATAATGTTTGGTCCCCACAAATGTGCCTTGGAAAAGATCACAGAGAAA